>NC_000024.10:11337032-11592902 GCF_000001405.40 Homo sapiens
TTATCCCACAGACTGAGAGCCATGCTGCAAAGTATTCTCCTAGCCAAACTGCTCAACTAAGATCAAATCCTCCCTAAATTGCTCAGGGTGCCAGACCTCATCCATTGAAAAATATGCCGAAGCCACTCCTAGCTCACTACATTTAGTAGTAAGAGACCAGCTTCTTCCCAGCTTCCATGAGTCATGTCAACACAGCTGTTGTAACACATCGACACAGACAATAGGAGCACATCCTGCAGTTGCCGCTACTGCTACTACAGATACTCCTGCTGTTTGTACCATTTCACAGTATAAATATGCTATGGAAGCTCACAATCCTCAATGGCATTTTCATGCACAGCCCCAGGTTACCATGCAGCAGCCTGCTGTTCATGTAGAAGGTCAAGAACCTTTGACTTCCATGATGGCATCTGCTCCTCCTCAAAAGCAAAAGGAAAAGAGTGAATGGTTGTTTCCTCTTCTCAAGCCATGCCCTAGTCGTGCTGCTAAAATCATTGGCATGTTGTTGGAGATTGGTAATTTAGAACTCCTTCATATACTTGAATCTCCAGAGCCTCTCTATACTAAGGTTGACAAAGGTATAGTTGTACTACAAGACAACCAAGCTAAAGAGGCTGCCCAGAAAGCAGTTAATGGTGCCACTGCTGTTCCAATTGTTTAAAACTGATCAGGGACCAGAGAAAGAAACTTGAGCATCACTGAAGAAAAATATCTCCATATCGAAAACCTTAAATACTATGGAAAAAATTTGTAAAATATAAAATAAATTTAAAAAGGAAACTTTGAACTTTACATACCAAACAAATGTCAGATCTAACAAATGCAATGATAGTCCTAGATTACTTATTGATTTGAAAAGAAAAAATCCTCCCAAAATAATAAAATATAAAAACACTGTAATGCTTTTCAGACTCTGTGATACATAATTTTCAGCAAAGTATAAAAATTTAAAGCATTCCTTTAATTTTGGAATTCATTAGTGTGGAATAGCTAAGAATGTCACTTCTGTTTTAAGTAACAGAATTGATAACTGAGCAAGGAAACATAATTTGGATTATAAAATTTTGCTTTAATAAAAATTCCTTAAACAGTAAAAAAAGATACAAAAAAACTTTATAAGAAACAACAATCTTGTATTTATTTGTTATTTTATTTTATTTTATTTTATTTTATTTTATTTTTTTGAGATGGAGTCTTGCTCTGTCACCCAGGCTGGAGTGCAGTGGCGTGATCTTGGCTCACTGCAACCTCTACCTCCCAGGTTCAAGTGATTCTCCTGCCTCAGCCTCCTGAGTAGACGGGACTAGAGGCACCTTCCATCATGCCTGGCTAGTTTTTTGTATTTGTAGTAGAGACAGGTTTTCACCATGTTAGCCAGGATGGTCTCCTTCTCCTGACCTCCTGATCCACCCGCCTTGTCTTCCCCAAGTGCTGGGATGGTGTGAGCCACTGTGCCCAGACTTATTTATTTAAATACTATAAACACTAATATCATACACATGGTTAACTGGTTGTAATTTTCAAATTATATTAATAAATTTTTATAAAAACTTTTATAAATAAAACACATAAAATTTCAAATAAATAACAACATCTGCCACACTACCTTAAAACGGCGACTATTTCAGTATAATAAACATATATCACAGACACTTAGAGAAAGTTCAATAAATAAAGAATAAAAAGAATAGGTACAACAATTTTCCTCCTAATCAAAAACACAATTCCTCATTTTGAAAATTATTTATTATATCTCTTTTATTAAAATAAACTTTCTACTTTGAAATCTAA
Organism: Homo sapiens; assembly: GCF_000001405.40. NCBI lineage: Eukaryota > Metazoa > Chordata > Mammalia > Primates > Hominidae > Homo > Homo sapiens. Next base: position 11,338,824 of record NC_000024.10, read on the forward strand.
TCCTCTTGTGAATGTAAAATACTATCTTGTAAATATATATATATACATATATTTTATTTTTTTTTTTTTGAGACAGAGTCTTGCTCTGTCTCCCAGGCTGGAGTGCAATGGTGCGATCTCAGCTCAATGCAACCTCTGCCTCCTGGGTTCAAGCGATTCTCCTGCCTCAGCCTTCTGAGTAGCTGGGATTAGAGGTGCGTGCCACCACACCTGACAAATTTTTGAATTTTTAGTAGAGACGGGGTTTCACTATGTTGGTCAGATTGGTCTCGAACTCCTGACCTTGTGATCTGCACACATTGGCCTCCCAAAGTGCTGGGATTACAGACATGAGCCACAACACCCTGCCTATATTTTTATTTTTTTATAAGTGACAATGAGATGTCTTCATTATTTAAATAGTAGTCAAAACACTGGCACAGTTTAAATTTTTAGAATTTGAGTACTAGAATTACAATATTTGAAAATGGAGTCTGTACTTTGCTGTAAAACTATAAAGAGAAAATATCACTAAAACAGTAGCTATTTTATCTTTTCCCAGAGTTATTCTCCCAGAGTGTATTTTCTAAGTTATTTCTCAGACGGTTTTAGAACTTTTGGCAGTTTCGGTGATATATTCTGTAAAAGCCCTTAGACTTAACAGGAATAACACATAGTTTTGATTGCCTTAAATTTTAATTGCTTCACTTGGCAAATTTATGTGCAAATTTCATATTCTGTGGTATTTTAATATCTTGCTTGTGGAGAAGAGGAAATAGATGAATGAAAGTAATATTCAGTCCTTGCATTGAGCTTTTGCCAAAGAAGTCTAAACAATTTCTAAAATGTCATTCAATAAGACCATTTTAGAAGTGTTTATATGACTCTTATAACTTTAAAATAAAGAGTCTTGAAGTAAATTAAAACTCACTTTGCTTGTGATGGGTTCTACATTAACATGGCAGATTTAATCAGCCAGAATTAAAAGGTAATTCTACATTACTAAGGAGAAGAAACTGCCACATGACAGTAGTCTCCAAATCTTTCATTTTTGGAGGCCGCCTTTTATGCCTAGATTTTAAAATACTAATTGAAAAAAATATAGTTTACTTCCATTTGTGATTTAATTTTATTTCTATAAATAAAAATATAGATAGTGTTTCATCTAAAAACTGCTAAATCAGACTTTCATTTTAAGGGCATGGCAGAAATAAGGAAAGACTAACTTGGTTCTATTAATTAACATATTATTTATTCAGGCAGTCACCAAAACCAGAATTTAAAATCTATTCAGTTAACCCATTTAAAGTTGATGTGTTTTACTCCTTTTATTTTTCTTTTTGTAGTGATCTTTCTAACTGAATTACTGGACATCATGGGGAGTTCTACTCCTCCTATTTGGAAACTTAGGCTATCTTACCAAGTTCAATATTCAAAGTTTTTCTTTCTGCCATTAAGTTTGTTTAATTTTATAGTAAGCTCAGTTTGTATTATGATATCAAATTCAGCCTGACGGATTACTTTAAACTTTCCTAGGGTATTTACAGATTTAATTTGTTCTTACACTATGTAAATTCCAAGAGAGCATTCTTTTTAATATTATTTTTATTAAATTAACTTTGTAGTAAAAAGTCCAAGAAAAGCCCTGTACAGAAATCACATGTTTACTAAATCCTGGATTTTCTGTACAGTCCCTACATACTTCTACTTTAAAATTCTTCTGTCATGTGAAATAATTCATTAAAAGAAGCAGGCAGATGATGACAGGTAAACTTTTTAATGATGTTCTAATGTTGACAATTGCAGTTTTATTTTGCTTGGATCATAATGGCGTGTAAGCATTTTAGGCCCCAGAATGCCCATAAGTAGAGCTCCATTTGGAGCTGTGATCATGATGGCTAAAAATGCTACTGTCATCACATCCTTCGCATATGTTTCCAAGTGGGGTGTGGAGACTCTTGCTGTTTCTAGAGCCAGAGGACCTAACACAGCCTACATTTAGGGGTAAAAATGGGGCATAAAGAAAAATATTAAACTGAGTTAATATATAATGTAAATGGCTCTGTTAAAATAAACAAAATCTAGTACTAGACTATTAGAAAAAAAAGGACTCAGTAATTTTCATAAGTTACTCATCAGTTCCATGTTCTTCCTAGGAAATATATGTGGAGGAAGAGTACAATAGTGACAAATCAGCATGCAAACATTTTTGGGCTGATTTTGCACTCTTGTCCTCTCAGTGTTCCTCTATTGAAATATCTCTTTTGAGTGTTGCCCTCATAACACCAGGAGTTCTAATGAAGCCGGTTTTGCTTAGTTGCCTTTATTGTGTACCAGTGGTTTTTGACTACAAGAAGACAAAATAAAATATTAAGTTTTCTTATGGTTCTCTAGGATTTGTTGCCCTTCTTTTCATTGTTCTCCTTATTCAGGGGGCACTGGGTTATAGCAGAACTGACAGCAGGCTTGGAATCTAGCAAACTGGGTTTGAATTCTATTTTTGCTGCAACCAGGCTAGTGACCTTGTACAAATGACTCACACTCTTACTTGTACATGTACTTACTTACATGTAAAACGAAGAACAAAATATTTATCTTACTGGACGGTTGTGAAAATTAAATATGAGAATGTGAAGAATACCTGGCACAGAGTAGGTATTCAGATAGTAGTAAGTTTCTTTCTCCTTCACTCCTCATCCCCTGCCAGGTCAGAGAATGAGTTCCTTTGAAGTTTTTGTTTTAGAATGACTCTACTGGGTCACAAGTTTTTTTCCCTAGTTACCTTCTACCATATTATTTTTAATAACATAAAGCAAATTTCTTGCTAACTCTCTTTCCTTGTGTTTAATAACTAGGGATGAAATTGCCTTAAAATTTGGGGGAATTAAATACCAATATATAACATATTTTCTATGGAGTTGCAAAGTAACAACATAATGGTAGAAACATTACCTCTGATATGGAACATTATGGCAAAAGAACCCCTCAATTTAAGATCAATTTATATATCCTAAATCAATAATTTAAAATGGTATTATTTTTATATCATAACTTTAAATGTACTGAACATGATCCAGTGTGCTGGAGGATGCTAGGGAGAAAGAAATAATCATGCAGAAAACCACCTTGAAAGAATCTTACAGTTTAGAAGAGGATTTGAACATAAAAGAACTGCCAACAGAAAAAAACAAAAACAAAAACCAAACCCATTGACTTTTAAGAGATGATGACGATAATGGTGAAACTAGAAATAATATTTTTATAGTTATATGGCATTCATCATATGTCAGGTATCATTCTTAAAGCTTTCCATTTATCAATTCATTTAATTCTTATGACAACCTTATTATGTGAGGACTTTTATTAGATGATAAATGATTTCCTCCTAGTGACTGAGATTTAATATTATTTCTTCAAAAAAATCCAATTACCAAGCTGATCTTACATTTGTAAACTAAATTATTTATTTAATCTCCTAATAGCTTCTATTTTTCCAGTCCAATTTTTATCAGTAACTCAAAACTGAGGAACAAGAGAAAGCTGAATCTTAGCCAATTTTATTTTAGCAGCAGAGAATGGCAGAAGAGGATAAAGGTGAAAATAATTTAAAATTGAAATTTAAATATTTGTTGATTGTATTTACTCATGACATTATTGTTATCTATTATTGCTGTTGTGACTCTACTTGTATAAATAATTAATTTTTTATGTCTTGCCAGTTTCTGGGACCAGCTTGATATTCTTTGTGTAGAAGCTAGCCTGGAGCCAGCAGACAGGAATAGGCAGAAGCAGAATAATACTGCAGGACTCAAGTGAGTGGTCTCTTTCCTCATACCTGCTTTTCTTTTTTCCCTGCTTTATGAAAATTATGAAATAATGAAACAAAATTGCAAGAGTATTGTTGGAAGGAGAGAGAACAGATACTCCTTTTGTAGATTTATTATTCCCTACAGTAGACATTAAAAATAAAAGTTATTTATATTACTTGGAGGTAAGATAAAATAACAACATTGTTTGCTAACTGAGCACCACCATATGCCAGAGAGAGTGCTAAGCACTTTACGTAGATTATCTCATTGAGTCCTGACAACACTGCTAAGAAACAGATACAGTCATAGACTTCATTGTAAGATGAGAACACTGAAGAACTGATAAACTAGAAAATAATTTTCCTGAGGTTATAGGCAAGTAACATGGTATTTGAAACAGGTAGTCTGGCTCTATGAACCTGCTTTTCTAACATGATAATAGAGGTTTTTTTGCATGAAAATTTAGGAGCTTCTGTTTTAGAATAACAACTAAGAAAACAGCCACAGGAAATTAAGGTATATTATGTTGCCAAGTTAAACAGTCTAACAAGAAGTAGCCATATATTTTAGTAGGAGGAGAATATCCTTGAATAACAGGGCAAAATTACAAGGTTTCCCTTTCCGTTCATTCATACTTGTAGGCATGCAATACGTATTTGCCTCCTGCATGTCAGGCACTGTGTTAAGTGCCAGGGAGAAATAATGAAAAACAACTGCAACTACCAGACACTGTCCCTGTCCTTAAGTAGTCTATCAAGGGGGCGGGGGCAGGGGTTTAGCCATTAACCAAATAGTATACAAATAAATGTGTAATTAAAAATATATGTGCATTTGTGTGATGGAGTGAGTGGCAAGGTAGGAAAAGTATTTTTTAAAAAATCAATGTGTCTCCATTTTACTTTACTTTTTTTTTTGCGACAGGATCTCACTTTGTCACCCAAGCTGGAGTGAAGTGGCATGACCTCAGCTCACTGCAGCCTCAACCTCCTGAGTTCAAGCAATCCTCCTGCCTCAGCCCCCAAGTAGCTGTGACTACAGGTGCGTGCCACCACACCTGACTAATTTTTTTGTATTTTTTGTAGAGACGGGGGTTTTACCATGTTGCCCAGGCTGGTCTTGAACTCCTGAGCTCAAGTGATCTGCCTGCCTCAGCCTCCAGAAGTGCTAGGATTACAGGCATGAGCCACCATGCCTGGTCTGTGTCTCTACTTTTTAAAATCATAACATTCAGCTTTGTTATATTCAGCAACATATAAAAACTCTAATTTTCAGATATATTCTTATTATGTATTTTAGGAAAATAAAAAACATATTTTCATAAACTTAGGAAGTACTTATTGAAACAATACCTTTTGATTTCAAATAGGGGTTGCTTTTAAAACTGAGATTTCAAATGTTATGTTGGCTAGGCCCAGTGGGTTATGCTTGTAATCCCAGAACTTTAGGAGGCTGAGGCAGGAAGATCACTTGAACCTAGGAGCTCAAGATCAGCCTGGGAAACATAGCAAGACCTCCTCTTTAAAAAAAAAAATCAGAAAGAAAAGGCCAGACACAGTGGCTCATGCCTGTAATCCCAGCATTTTGGGAGGCTGTGGCGGGTGGATCACTTGAGGTCAGGAGTTTGAGACTAGACTGGCCAACATGGTGAGACCCCATATCTACTAAAAATACAAAAATTAGCTGGGTGTGGTGGTGTGCAACTGTAATCCCAGCTACTGAGGAGGCTGAGGCAGGAGAATCGCTTGAACCTGGGAGGTGGAGGTTGCATTGAGCTGAGATCATGCCACTGCACTCCAGCCTGGGCAACAGAGTAAGACTGTCTCAAAAAAAAAAAAAAAATCTGAAAAAAAGCAGTTGGGTGTGGTGGCAGGTGACTGTGATCCTAGCTACTCAGGAGGCTGATGTGAGAGGATTGTTTGAACCCAGGAGGTTGAGGCTGCAGTGAGCCGTGATCGTGCCACTGCACTCCAGTTTGGGTGACAGAGTGAGACCTGGTCTCAAAATGAAAATAAAAATAAAAATAGAAAAAGTTTACATTGAGTTTCTTTGTTTGTTTCTGTTTATTTATTTATTTATTTATTTGAGATTGAGTCTTGCTCTGTCGCCCAGACTGGAGTACAGTTGTGCCATCTCAGCTTACTGCAACCTCCGCCTCTTGGGTTCAAACGATTCTCCCATCTCAGCCTCCTGAGTAACTGGGACTGGTTACGTTAATTTTAATGAATAGTTATGATCAATCAAACATTTAAAAATAAGGATAATAGCTCATATTTTGTGATTGGAGTAACATTTTTCATTTTAAATTTTAAAAGCATCAAAATGAAAGCATTAAGCAATAGGCTTAATATGTTCTTACCTGTACTGTAGCTTTGGGCATCCATGCTAAAGCAATAAATATTTTCTCCTTAAAACTAAAACCAGCAAAGCACATCAATAGATATATGTTTAAAATTCGAACACATAATGCCAAACTCAGAGTGGAAACAGATATGCCTACAACAGATGAAAACAAACATAAATAACAAAATATTTGTGAAGAAATGTTCTTTATGCCCAGGAATATGATTTCTAAGACTTTTGAAAGCATTTTAAGGCTTTTTTCTCTTCATGTGTTTAATTTTTACATAAAACAATGATAATAAAAAATGAATATGATGGAGGATTCTCTGTAAAGTGCAAGACAGTATCTGATGGTGGAGGTACCATGAAAAATAAGGCAGATGACATTTATACAATTCTGAACTAATAGACTTTTTTTGAATACTTTTATTATTATTAATAATAATTTACTTTTTGAGAAGGATTCTTGCTCTGTCGCCCAGGCTGGAGTGCAGTGGTACAATCTCAGCTCACTGCAACTTCCGACTCCCGGGTTCACGTGATTCTCCTGCCTCAGCCTCCTGAGTAGCTGGGATTACAGGCGTACACTACCACACCTGGCTAATTTTTGTATTTCTAGGAGAGATGGGGTTCCCCATGTTAGCCAGGCAGGTCTTGAATTCATAACTTCAAGAAATCTGCCCGCTTCGGCCTCCCAAAGTGCTAAGATTACAGGCATGAGCCACCACACCCAGCCAATAGTTTTCAATGAAAGTATTCAAAAAGTGCTGATCGTATCAAATATGCTCCCTCAGAAAAGAAATCTTATATTTATTTCCTTAGATAACTCAGGGAAGATATTCAAGGCTGTCCTTGGTTTAAAAAAAAAGAGCACACAGTGTAAAGGAAGAGCAATATGAAAATATGACACTGTATCAACATGTGTTTCTGAAGAAGGTCCTTGTAGCCATTCAAAGATATATTGTAAATAAAAATAAATGTATTTATAACTTTTTAAATATTTTTGAATTTCATATTTTTTGTGCTCTAATTATTCTTACCAACAATATTTGATTCAAGCAATGAAACAGATACTTCTGCTCCAACTAAACCAAAAAGAAGTGGTTGAAAAATATCCCATACATTTGTAATAATCTTTTGGACTTTCATCTATAGAAAAGAGAAAAACATTTTTAATTATTTTGGCACATAAATATATTTCAGAAAGTTAAAGTCTCCCTCACCTTTTTTTTTTCACTTTTTAAGTATTTTAGAGATGGGGTCTTGCTCTGTTGCCCAGGCTGGAGTGTAGTGTCATAATCATAGCTCACTGTAGCCTTGAACTCCTGGGCTCAAATGATCCTCTCACAGTCTCCGAAGTAGAACTACAGGTGTGTACCACCATGCTGGGCTAATTTTTAAATTGTTTATCTAGATGGGGCCTCGCTATATTGCCCAGGATGGTCTAGAACTCCTATCTTCAAGTGGTCTCTGGCTGTGGCCTCCCAAAGCACTGGCATTATGGACATGAGCCACCATGCCTGGCCTAAAGTCACTTAACATTTAATAAATTTAAGACACTTTATTTTAATAAAAATGTTAAACTTAATTAATAAAAACTGAGCACTTCAATAGTTTTACTCAAACACTTAGGTAGAATTTGAATAAAAGAAATGCACAAAGCAATAAAATAATACTATTTGGCCATTTTGTCACAGAATAAGTGATGTCCTTAGGGTTCTAGCCATGTTTCGTATGAGTTCCAGATTTTGTCTCTAAGTTAACTGAACAAAGATAGAACTACGTCATGCCTGATGAGAACATACCCAGTTCATGCAAACATTTGGGTTCTCAGAAGGGGATTGGGAAGCCTTCCACTAACAACCATCCTGGAACTCAATCCTATTAAAGTGAATCCTGATATATATAGCATATGCTACTAAGAAAAACAATTTGGAAGTCTGCTAGGCCTGCTTCCAAAGAACCCATGTTGAGTACTTTAGAGTTACTTTTTCCTTAAAACAAAACCAAAACATATATTAGATTCTCATTTAGCTGCCTACCCAGCTTCCCTTTCTGGAAAAGAATGTCTCCCAGTGCCACTTTCCCAATTAAAAGGTTACAGGAAAGGCCCCTATTGGCCTACATTACTCTGGCTCTTCTCCAGGAATTTGGATGAAGAGATTTCAGTCTCAGTCTGGGTTTAATTTTTTTTAAAACAGAAGATACATAAGAACTTTGATGCCTCTTCCTTGAGGCATAAACTATCTTCATAACTATTTCCCTTATGACTGTGTTTTCTGATCCCCACTTATTATAGTTTAAAAAAAGAAAAACAAAGAAAAACGATGTTACTACTCTTTACAGCATAATTATCCTATTTGTTACTTTTAATCTTTAAAACTTGTTTTAGTTCTGTTTCTTTTACCATTTAAAAAAATTCTAGCAGTTTTAATTTTATTTATTGATTTGCATTTCATTCATTTCATTTCTTTTATAATTATGATTATATAAGAATACTAAGAAAAATGCCACTATGATTTTTGATTAGGGAACTTCTCAAGCTGATTCTAAAATTTATCTAAGAAAGAATGTATGTAGGAACAGCCAAAAAATACTTTAAAAAGAAGTATAATCTATATTAGATTTTGACACATAAAACTGCAGTGATGTAAAACAGTAGTGTTGGCACAGAAATAGAGAAGTAGGATTAAATAGACTTCAGAATTAATATATATGGGAGAATTTAGTTCATGTTAAAAAACTGAATTATTAATGAATTGGTCAATAAATAAACAATTTGGCAAAAAATGACTGTCTAGTTTATGTGCATATATCTGTATGTACATATTCATCACATGCAAATATATATGTGTGTCTGAATATGTATATATATTTATGTGTGTGTATATATATATATATACACACACATCAGGCATGATGTAGTTCTATCTCTGTTCAGTTAACTTACAAAATGTATGTGTGTGTGTGTGTATATATATATAGTTTGTAATATACACATATGTATATATGTATAACTTTACCTCACAAAATGTATGTGTGTGTGTATGTATATATATATAGTTTGTAAGATACACATATGTATATATGTATAACCTTACCTCACAGCATTCACAAAGATAAATTCCAGATAGATTAAAAGACTAAATGAAAAAACAAATTAAACAAACCAAAACTACCAAAATATTAAATGATAATACACAAAATAGTATATATTTGTAATGTTTATATGTTATAATCTTCAGTGAGAAAGTCCTTCTTAAATGAAATGCAGAATCCAAAACAAAAAAAGGAAAACCCAATAGGTTTGGTCATAGGAAATTTTACTTTCATACATCAGAAACCATAAACAAAGTTGAAGATAAGCAAAAATTATATGCAATATATACATAACAAAGGATCAGTAGCACTAACACTAAGAGAAACTATAAATTAGAAACAAAAAAATAAATAACCCAATAAAAACGGTCAAAGAAGATCATTTAAAAAGAATATATGAAGAGAAGCTTACTATACTACTAATCAGAGAAATGTAAATAAAGAATAACAACATCACATAATTGTAAGAAACTATAAGAATTGGATGGTGAGGTCATTTAATAGTAAAAAGAATAGAACTAGTGACAATACCAAGTGCTGTTGATGAGTTAAAGTATTAGATATTTTTGTGCACTGTTGACAGAGTGTAAATAACCAAAATTTTTGAAGGGATAATTTAGCAGTGTCCATCAAAATAAAACACAGATCATTTCCAGCCAGGTGTGGTAGCTCATGCTTATAATCCTAGCACTTTGCAATGTCAAGTTGGGAGGATCCCTTGAGCTCAGGATTTTGAGACCAGCCTGGGCAACATAGACAGAGACTCTGTCTCAAAAAAAAAAAATCATTTCTGGGACTCTATTCCTACAGATGTACCTGTAATCCCAACACTTTGGGAGGCCGAGGCAGCAGTATCACCTGAGGTCAGGAGTTCAAGACCTGCCTGGCCAACATGGTGAAACCCCGTCTCTCCTAAAAATACAAAAATTTGCTGGGCCTGGTGGTGCACGCCTGTAATCCCAGCTACTAGGGAGGCTGGAATAGAAGAATCACTTCATGAGCAACACTGTTTATGACAGCACTGTTTATAAATAACAAAAAGTGGAAACGATCTAAATGTCTATAAATAGAATACTGGTTACTTAAAAAATGTAAGGGGGTTAGATATTTGACAGTGGTGGAGAATAAAGAAATCTTTTACATTTTATTCTATATGCTTTATTCTTTTACAAGCATTTCTATTTTTATTATTTATTTGTTTATTATTATTTTTTGTGTGTGTGATGGAGTTTTGCACTTGTTGCCCAGGCTGGAGTGCAATGGCATGATCTCGGCTCACTGCAGCCTCCACCTCCTGGGTTCAAGCAATGCTCCTGCCTCAGACTCCTGAGTAGCTGGAATTACAGGTTCCCACCACCATGCCACCATGCCCAGCTAATTTTTGTATTTTTAGTAGAGATGAGTTTTCAACATGTTGGCCAGACTGGTCTCAAAATCCTGACCCCAGGTGATCTGTCCACCTCGACCTCCCAAATTTCTGGGATTACAGGCATGAGCCACCATACCTGGCCTTTTACAAACATTCTTCATGGATTAATTGTATAATTAAAATTTCAATGAATAAAATAATTAGATTGATATAAGTAATATAATAATATTATATAAAACTTGGGAAAAAGAGAAGCCTGATGTGATTAATTCAACTTCTGATTCCATATTAGTATTCTTCCAGCTGCTTTTCCTAAATATTTTATTTCCTCGATTGATTCATACACTTTCTTGAGGGTAGCAAACCTTTGGAATATTTTACAACCAGAATGAGGGGATTTCCTAAATATATGCAAAAAATTCAGTTGTCTTAGCTTTTAAAATATAGCATATTAAAAATATTCACCTTTTCTTGGGACCATTTTGTCCATTCAATGAAATGCAACACTAGTGTGCATAATCCTCCAGATCCATGTAAACCAATAGGTTGGCTGCCTAAGACAGCAGAAACAAACGTAATCAAAACAAGGAATCCTCTCTTCAATGTAATTTTTTTCTAGAATTAGATAGATATTTAGAAATTAGTTTATATTAAATATATAATACAAGATTTGACATTATCTACTACATATGTTTGACCCTTTGACATTATGTCTTTAAATGTTATACTAAATCTCTAAAATTTTGATTTTCTTTCTCACCATACATTTTAGCAGACTTACTACCAAGTAACAAAATTTCCAATTAATAACGTTTTACCTTCTGCCACATCTCTGATACTAGTATCAGTAAAATGGTTAAAGTATTACTTTAAGTGAAGAAGAAAAGAGACCCATAAAATCTCCAGTTTCATATAACATATCCAATGAATTCTTAAAAAATATTTGAATATCTCTTTGGTCAGTATGTTGCAACTAAATTTGGATGGAAATTACAGAAATATGAAAGTAATGACATGTTTTCCTTTAAGGCAGGAAATGGCTAAGTTTGAGAGCTGCCTTTGTCAAAGGATAGCTGGAGTGAATTTCAGTCAGAAAATATGCATAAATAAATGGGAACCTATCTCCCCCTAAAATGTTTAACGGAAAATTTGGGGGAAATTATCAAACATCAATAGGCAATTTAGTAGAGAAAGGGAAAGTATAATTCAGAGAGATACTCTGCATTAAGTATATTTTTTGACATTCCTTATTTGCCAAATCAGGAAGCAGAGACTTTAATCAAAGCCATTGTCCTGTATCAATCACTGCTGTGCTCAGTTTTAAATACAGAGTAGGCATTGGAGGCTAGTTTTAGAAAAATAGAGTTAAGTATTAAATTTCATGGATCTTACCAAAGTTTAATATTTTGGAAAAAATGTCTAATACTATACTTCTATAAAATAGATTTTGTATTTACCTGGTCTTCACTTGGAAAATATCGAACAAAAAATCCCAAAACAATTCCGGCCAGCAGACTAATACATACGTTCCTTAGAGAGGCTATGGCGTTATTAATCATACCACCTGTAGGGGCACACAATAAAAAAATTCACAAAGAAATATTTTCACATACACTACACATCAGAAAAGCAAATCTAGGTGGTTCATGAAGAAAAGTAAGCATTTTATAGAACAAATATATGCAAATGGTCTTTTTATAGTGACATGTATGAAAACACGTAGATCTATTTAGTACATTAAATATATATGCTCAAATAATTTAATATATACACACAACTCAGAAATGTCCATTATATAAATAGGCCAGAAAACAAAGACTTAACAAGCACAAGATGCTCCCCTTATATAGCCAATTTAAAAGACAGAGTGAGGTAGTCTGGGCGCAGTGGCTCATGTCTGTAATCCCAGCGCTTTGGGAGGCTGAGGAGGGTGGATTACTTGAGGTCAGGAGTTCAAGACCAGCCTGGCCAACATAATTAAACCCCATCGCTACTAAAAAACAAAAATTAGGTGGGCATGGTGGCACACAACTGTGATCCCAGGTACTCAGGAGGCTGAGGGAGGAGAATCACTTGAACCCGGGAGACAGAGGTTGCAGTGAGCTGAGATCGTGCCACTACACTCCAGCCTGGGTGAAAGATGGAGTCTACACCTCCAAAAGAAAAAAAAAAGACCAACTGGGGTACAAGAATGGAAAGAGACCGAAACTCTTGTGGCACTTAGCATATGGCTGGAAAGGGCTATATTAACAATTCTTCTTTGATGTACTATATGAAAAAGAAACAAATGATTTTAACATGAAAAGAACAATGTAATAACCACATAAAAAATTTTGTTCCAGGGTCAGTCCTAGAAACATTCAAGGGTCATTTAAGATTTCAGTACATTTAAGTTTCTGCTTTTGGTGAAGAAAAAAGGAAAAAAATATACAAAAGATTCAAGTATATTTTATATTAATTAATATTAATATATCCATACTTGTAGTTCATTGTAATAAGTAAAAAACAAAAAATAAAAAAACAGAATGAGTCACAAAAATAGTTCAGTTAAGCTCTGGGTAGTGGATTCAATATAGTACGTAAGTATATTTTTAGATATATTTTCTATTAAATATAACAGGCAGCACATGGTGGGCTCACACCTTTAATCCTAGCACTTTGGGAGGCCAAGGCAGAAGGATTGCTTGAGCCCAAGAGTTGAGACCAACTTGGACAACAGAGTGAAACCCCATCTTCACAAGAAAATAAGAAATTAGCCCGGTATGTGGTGTGTGCCTATTGTCCAAGTACTCAGTAGCCTGAGGGAGGAGGTCCCTTGAGCTCAGGAGTTCGAGGCTGCCCTCTAGCCTGGCTGACAGAGCAAGATCCTGTCTCAAGAAAATAAAATATAATAAAAATAAAAAATAATATAAACAGAGTGTTGTCAGCCAGATGGTGGAATGGGAAGCTCCAAACCTTGATTCTCCATAAAGATACCAACTGAAAAACAATATATGGTCTAAAAGCCTTTATGGAGCTACATAAACCATTAAGAAGTTGTAGTAGCACAGACAAGTGCTAAGCCAAGAATAGTGGCATTGAACAAATAAGAAAAGCTGTTGCATTATACTCATGATACCCCTTCCCCAAGCTCGAGCAGGTTGGTTTGGCTGGGAAGCACTCAACTTGCAGCTTCTCCGTTAGCAGGGAAAGAGAAGACTGGAACGGAATAGTTTTATGAGGTTACCTGAAACTCTCTCTCTCTCTCTAACTTGACGCCCAACGGGCATAATTTGGATGCATGGGAGCCACTGGGAATAAAGGAGAAGTCAGAGATGATGCAGCACCAGGGAACCTGCAGTACCACAGACAGATACCAAAGGGAGCAACAGCTCTAGAAAAAGAAACTGGCAAACCTCTACTTGGGATGTTACAATGTATAAACCCAAAGAAGATGCATTCTCAGAAAAAGTTTGAGAGGCTGCTGGAACCTATAGCCATGCTGATTCAGGTATGAAGGTCTTCCGTGTGAAGCCAGCTGATAAAAACTGGGAGAAGTGGCAGTTTTTTCAAACGCCCAAATCTTGGCAAAAATAAATAAAAAGTAAAAAATAACAAGACATAAGAAGAAACAGAGAAATCTGATGACTAAATTAAAGGAGCAAAATAAATCTCCAGAAACCAACCCTACAGAAATAGGTAAATGAGTTACCTGACAAAGAATCCAAATTAACTATCTTAATGAAGCCCAGTGACAACAGAAATAAACAACTAAGTGAAAGCAGGAAATAATTCATGAACAAAATGAAAATATTAACAGATATAGAAACTGAAAAAAAAAGGAACCATACAGAAACTCTGGAGCTAAGGAATACAATAGCTTAATTGAAAAAATCACTATCAGAAATCACCATTAGACTGTGTAACTGCCCAATGGGTTCACCTCGTGCACTGCTTAGACAGAGCTGATTTATCAAGACAGGGGAATTGCAGTGGAGAAAGACTAATTCAGGCAGAGCCGGCTGTGCGGGAGATCAGAGTTTTATTATTCCTCAAATCAGTCTCCCTGAGCATTCGGGGATCAGAACTTTTAAAGATAATTTGGCAGGTCGGGGCTTGGGAAGTGGGGACTGCTTATTCATCAGGTTGGAGATGAAATCATACGGGGTTGAAGTGATGTTTTCTTGCTGTCTTCTGTTTGTGGGTGGGGTGGCAGAACTAGTTGAGCCATATTACCAGTCTAGGTGGTGCCAGCTGATTCATCCAGTGCAGGGTCTGCAAAATATCTCAAGCACTGATTTTAGGTTTTACAATAGTGATTTTATCCCCAGGAGCAATTTGGAGAGGATCAGACTCAGAGCCAGAGGCTGCATAATCCCTCAACTGTAATTTATAATGTTATAGCTAATTTGTTTATCCTGCAAAGGCAGACTGGTTCCAGGCAAGAAGGGTATCTTTTTGGGAAATGACTATTATCAACTTTGTTTCAGAGTCAAACCATGAACTGAATACCTTCCCAAAATTAGTTCATACTACTGCCAGGAATGAACAAGGACAGTTTAAATGCTAGAGGCAAGATGGAGTTGATTAAGTCTGATGTCTTTTGCTGTCATAATTTCTTCAGTTACAATTTTTGCAAAGGCAGTTTCAATAACATCAAGCAGAAGAAAGAATCAGTGAAATGGAAGACTAGTCATTTGAAATTATGGAGTCAGAGGAGCAAAAGGGAAAAGGAGTGAAGAGTGAGGACAGCCTAAGAGACTTACAGGATGCCATCAAGCAGACCAGTGTATGCATTATGAAAGTACCAGAAGGAGAAGAGAAAAATAAAGGGGCAGAGAGCCAGTTAAAAAAATAATGATCAAAAACTTCTCAAACTTAAGGAAGGAAGTGGACATACAAATCCAAAAGGCTCAAAGAACTCCAAGTTGGCTAATTTGCAAAAGACCTACAATGAGACACATTACAATCAAACTGTCAAAAGTCAAAGACAAAGAGAGAATTTTGAAAGGAACAGGATCAAAGCAACTTGTCACATACAAGGGAGATGCCATATGGTTATCAATGGAATTCTCAGCAAAAACTCTACAGGCCAGAAGAGAATGGGATGATATATTAAAAGGGCTGAAAGAAAAAAAAAAACTATCAACCAAGAACTGTATAGCCAGTAAAACTCTACTTCAAAAATGAAGGACAAACAAAGATTTCCCCAGAGAAGTAAAAGGTGAGGGAGTTGATCACCACTAGACCTACCTTACAAAAAATGTTAAAGAGAGTCCTCCAAGTGGAAGTGAAAAGGTATTGGATAGAAATACAAAAGAAAACAAAATATAAACTTCTTTGCTAAAGGTAAATACATGAGTGAACATAGAATCCTTTAATACTCTAATGGTGGTAAGCAAAACACTTTTTTTCCTTTACTTTTTTTTGAGACAAAGTCTTGCTCTGTTGCCCAGACTGGAGTGCAGTGGTTTGATCATGGCTCACTGCAGCCTTGCAGTCCTGGGCTAAAGCAATCCTCCCACCTCAGCCTCCTGAGTGGCTGGGACTACAGACATGCACCACTACACTCAGATAATATTTTTAAATTTTTAGAAGAGATAAGGCCTTGCTGGTCTCAAACTCCTAGGCTCAAGTGATCCTCCCATTTTGGCCTCTCAAAGTGCTGGGACTACAGGTGTGAGACACCACACCCAGCCTGTAATTCACTTTTAATTGAAGCATAGAATTTAAAAGGTAAAAGCATAATATTACTGTATTAAATTATGTGAATAAACAATATAAAATATATAGTGTGACATTGATAACAAAGTGAGAAGGAGGTGTAAAGAAGTAGAGTTTTTGTATGTGATTAAAGTTAAGTTGTTGTCAATTTAAAATAGATTATTATAATTATAAGATGTTTTTATGTAATTCTACAGTAACCACAAAGAAAAGACCTACATAAGATACACAAATAAAAATGAGAAAGGAACGAAAGCACGTCCCTACCAAAAAAAAGAAATCAGTGAAACAAAGGGAGGCAGAAAGAGAGGCAAAGAGGAAAATAATACCTTTAAGACATGTATAAAATAATGAACAAAATGACAATAGTAAGCCCCTCCCTATCAGTAACTAATTTAAATGCAAATAGGCTAATTTTCCAATCAAAAGACAGAGAATTTGCCGAATGGATTAAAAAATGTAAATATATACTATATGCAAGAGACTTATGTTAGATCTAAACATACACAAAGGTTGAAAGTGGAAGGATGGAAAAAGATATTCAATGCATTTGTTAACCAAAAGAGAATAAGGATGGCCATACTTAGACAAAATAGAGTTAAGTCAAATAATAGCACAAGAGACAAGGATATTACATAATAATAAAAGGGCCAATTGACCAAGAAGATATAACAATTATAAATGTATATGCAACTAACAGTACAGCATCTAAATATATGAAGCTAACATAGACAGAATTGAGGGGTAACATAGCTAACAACATCATAATAACAGAAAACTTCAATATTCCACTTTCAATTATGGATCCAATAACCAGACAGAAGATCAACTGGAAAACACAGAACTTGAACAACATTGTAGACCAATTGGACCTGTCTGACATATACAGAACACTTCACCCAATAATAGCAAAATATGCTTTCTTCTCAAGTACATACCAAGACTTTTCCTGGATAGACGGCATGCTAGTCCACAAACAAGTTTTTAAAAGTTTAAGAGAACTGAACTCATACCAAGTATCTTTTCTGACCACATTAAATGAAATTACAAATTCATAGCAGAAGGAAAAAGGAAAAGTAATAAATATGTGGAAATTACAAAAATATACTCTCTTAACCAATTGGCCTGTGTGGTTAATATTAATTGTCAATTTGATTGAGGGATGCTTAGATGCCTGATGAAGCACTGTGTGTGGTTATATCTGTGAGGGTGCTGCCACAGGGGAATGATGGATGAGTTAGTGGACTGAGAGAGAAAAACCCATCCTCACTGTGGGTAGGCATCATGCAATTGTTTGCAATTGTGACTAGAACAAAAAGGCAGAAGAAAGGGAACATTCAGCTTGCTTTGATTTCTTTTTTATGCACTGTCTCTCTCTTCCAGAGCAGTATGCCTTTTTCTCCTCTTGCACTTGCACATCAAACTCCAGGTTCTTTGGCCTTTGGACCCTGGGACTTGCATCAGCAGCCTTTTGGGAGCTCTCAGGCCTTGGGCCTCAGACTAGTGGCTTCACTGTCTGCTTCCCTTGTTTTGAGACTTTCAGATTTGGACTGAGCCATATCACTGGCTTCCTTGGGAGCCATGCTGTAGGCTTCTCTCATTTCCCACTTATAGATGGCCTATTGTGGGACTTTGTCTTTGTAATTATGTGAGCCAATTCTCCTTAATATATTATATTTCATATATATGTAAATATATTCTCTTATAGATGCATGTATATGTATCTATATCTATATCTATATATCTATATCTATATCTATGTCTATATTTCCTATTGGATCTGACCCTCTGGAGAACTCTGATTAATACATAGTCAAAGAATAAATCACAAGGAAAATTAGAAAATGTCTTGAGACAAATAAAAATGGAAACACAACATTCCAAAGCTTGTGGGATGCAGCAAAATGAATATGAAGAGGACAGTTTATATATCTAACTACCTACCTTAAAAAAGAAGAAAGATCTAAAATCAGCAACTTAGCTTTACACCTCAAGAAACTGGAAAAAGAAGAACTCAACCCAATGTTAGCAAAAAGAAGGAAATGATAAAGTCTAGAGCAGAAGGCCAGGTGCAGTGGCTCACAACAGTAATCCCAGCAATTTGGGAGGCCGAGGCAGGTGGATCACCTGAGGTGGGGAGTTCGAGACCAGCCTCAGCAACAAGGAGAAACCTGTCTCTAATAAAAAATACAAAATTAGTCGGGCAAGGTGATGCATGCCTGTAATCCCAGCTACTCTGGAGGCTGAGACAGGAGAGTCACTTGAACTGGGAGGCGGGGTTTGCAGCGAGCGGAGATCACAACATTGCACTACAGCCTGGGCAATAAGAGCAAAACTGCATTCCACCCCCCCCCAAAAAAAAGGCTAGAGAATAGAAAAAAACCAATGAAACTAGTAGTTGTTTCAAAGTTCAACAAAATTAACAAATCATTAGCTAGAATATTTAAGAAAAAAAATAAAGAAGACTCAACTTCTTTTAGGAACAAAAGAGAAGACACTGCAACAGATATTACAGAAATAAAAAGGATTCTAAGAGTCTACTATGAATGATTATATACTGACAAGTTGGATAACCTAAGAGAAATGAACAGATTCCTAGTAACATGCAAGTTACCAAGACTAAGTCACAAAATAAAAAATCTTAATAAACCTATAACTAGTAACTGAATCAGGAATCAAAAACCTCCCAGCAAACCAAATACCTGATACGGGGTTAATATCTAAAATATATACAGAATAACAACTCAATAACAAAACAACCTAAATGAGAAATGGTCAGTTGACTTTGCTATGGTCCAAATGTTCTCCCAATATTCATATGCTAGAGCCTAAGAGGTGGGGCATTTTGGAGATGATTAGTTCATGAAGTCATCGTCCTCAGAAATGGGACTAGGGCCTTTATAAAAGAGGCTTAAGGGAGTTTGTTTTCCCTTTTGAACATGTGAGGACACAGAGAAGGTGCTATGTATAGTGAATATAGTGACCTCACCAGTCACTGAGTCTGTTGTAGCCTAAATCTTGGACTTCTCACACTCCAGAATGCAAGAAATAAATTTCTGCTGTTTATAAATTACCAGCCTAAGGTATTTTGTTATAGCAGCAGGAATGGACTAAGATAGACTTGAATAGACATTTTTTCCAAAAAAAATACAAATGACCAACTAGCATATCAACCCAACACTACGTGGAAGCTGCCAAGGCTTGGGGATTGAACTCTGAAGCAACAGCCTGAGCTTTACATTGGCTCCTTTTAGCCATGGCTGGGACACAGGGCACCAAGTCCCAAAACTGCACAGAGCAGCAAAGTTCTGGGCCTGGCACAAAAAAACATTTTTTCCCTCCTAGGCCTCCAACTCTGTGATGGGAGAGGCTGTTGTGAAGAACTCTGACATGTCCTGGAGACAATTTCCCCATTATCTTGTCAATTAACATTTGGCTCCTTGTTACTTCTGCAAATTTCTGCAGTCAGCTTGAATTTCTCCCCAGAAAATGGGTTTTCTTTTCTATCACATCATCAGGCTGCAAATCTTCCAAACTTTCATGCTCTGCTCCCTTTTAAACATAAGTTCTAATTCCAAAACATATTTTTGTGAATGCATAAAACTGAACACTTTTAAGAGCACTCAGGTCATAAATTGAACACCTTGCTGCTTACAAATTTCTTCTACCAGATGTCCTGGATGGTTTCCAAGATTGCCAAATAAGAAAAGTTCCGGTCTGCAGCTCCCAGCATGATCGACAGAGAAGACGGGTGATTTCTGCACTTCCAACTGAGGTACCTGGTTCATCTCATTGGGACTGGTTGGACAGGGGGTGCAGGCCCACAGAGGTGAGGTGAAACAGGTTGGGGTGTCGCCTCACCCGGGAAACATAAGGGGTTGGGGGATTTCCCTTCCTAGCCAAGGGAAGCTGTGACAGACAACCTGGAAAAACAGGGCACTCCCACCCAAATACTGCACTTTTCCCAAGGTCTTAGCAACTAGCAGACAAGGTGATTCTCTCCTGTGCCTGCCTCAGTGGGTCCCACACCCATAGAGACTTGCTCACTGCTAGCACAACAGTCTGAAATCCATCTGCGAGGTGGCAGCCTGGCTGAGGGGGGGGGGGCGTCCAACATTGCTGAGGCTTAAGTAGGTAAACAAAGCGGCCAGGGAAGCTTGAACTGGGTGGATTCCACCGCAGTTCAACAAGGCCCATTGCCTCTAGACTCCATGTCTGTGGGTGGGGATAGCTGAACAAAAGGCAGCAACTTCTGCAGACTTAAACGTCCCTGTCTGACAGCTCTGAAGAGAGCAGTGGTTTTCCCAGCATGGTGTTTGAGTTCTGAGAATGGACAGACTGCCTCCTCAAGTAGGTCCCTGAACCCTGTGTAGCCTAACTGGGACACACCTCCCAGTAGGGGCTGACAGACACCTCATATAGGCGGCTGCCCCTCTTGGACGAAGCTTCCAGAGGAAGTATCAGGCAGCAATATTTGCTGTTCTGCAATATTTACTGTTCTGCAGCCTCCACTGATGATACCCAGGCAAACAGTGTCTGGAGTGGAACTCCAGCAAACTCCAACAGATCTGCAGCTGAGGGTCCTGACTGTTAGAAGGAAAACTAAAAAACAGAAAGGAATAGTGTCAACATTAACAGAAGATCATCTACACCAAAACCCCATCTGTAGGTCAACAATATCAAAGACCAAAGGTAGATAAAACCAGAAGGATGGGGATAAACCAGAGTAGAAAAGCTGAAAATTCTAAAATTCAGAGCACCTCTTCTCCTCCAAAGGATCATAGCTCCTTGTCAGCAATGGAACAAAGCTGGATGGAGAATGACTTTGACGAATTGACAGAAGTAGGCTTCAGAAGGTTGGTAATAACAAACTTCTCTGAGCCAAAGAGGATGTTGGAACCCATTGCAAGTAAGCTAAAAACCTTGAAAAAAGATTAGACGAATGGCTTACAAGAATAAACAGCGTAGAGAAGACCTTAAGTGACCCAATGGAGCTGAAAACCATGGCACGAGAATTTTGTGATGCATGCACAAGCTTCAATAGCCGATTCAATCAAGTGGAAGAAAGAGTATCAGTGATTGAAGATCAAATAAATGAAATAAAGTGAGAAGAGAAGGTTAGAGAAACAAGAGTAAAAAGAAATGAAGAAAGCCTCCAAGAAATATGGGACCATGTGAAAAGACCAAATCTATATTTGGTTGGTGCACCAGAAAGTGATGAGGAGAATGGAACCAAGTTGTAAAACACTCTTCAGGATATTATCCAGGAGAACTTCCCCAACCTAGCATGGCAGGCCAACATTCAACTTCAGGAGATACAGAGAACAACACAAAGATACTCTTTGAGAAGAGCGATTCCAAGACACATAATTGTCAGATTCACCAAGGTTGAAGTGCAGGAAAAAGTGTTAAGGGCAGCCAGAGAGAAAGGTCAGGTTAGCCACAAAGGGAAGCCCGTCAGACTAACAGCTGATCTCTTGGCAGAAACCCTACAATCCAGAAGAGAGTGGGGGTCAATATTCAACATTCTTAAAGAAAATAATTTTCAATCCAGAGTTTCATGTCCAGCCAAAATAAGCTTCATAAGTGAAGGAGAAAATAAAATTCTTTACTGATAAGCAAATGCTGAGAGATTTTTTCACCACCAGGCCTGCCTTACAAGAGCTCCTGAAGGAAGCCCTAAACATGGAAAGAAACACCTGGTACCAGCCAGTGCAAAAACATGCCAAGTTGTAAAGACCATCAATGCTAGGAAGAAACTGCATCAATTAACGGGCAAATAACCAGCGAATATCATAATGACAGGATCAAATTCACACATAACAATATTAACCTTAAATGTAAATGGGCTAAATGTCCCAATTAAAGGACACAGACTGGCAAATTGGAGAAAGAGTCAAGACCCATCAGTGTGCTGTATTCAGGAGGCCCATCTCATGCACAAATTCACACATAGGCTCAAAATAAAGGGATGGAGGAAGATCTACCAAGAAAATGGAAAACAAAAAAAGGCAGAGGTTGCAATCCTTGTCTCTGATAAAACAGACTTTAAACCAACAAAGATCAAGAGACAAAGAAGGCCATTACATAATGGTAAAGGGATCAATGCAACAAGAAGAGCTAACTATCTTAAATATATATGCAACCAGTACAAGAGCACCCAGATTCATAAAGCAAGTCCTTAGAGACCTACAAAGAGACTTAGACTCCCACACAATAATAATGGGAGACTTTAACACCCAACTGTCAATATTAGAAAGATCAACAAGACAGAAGGTTAACAAAGATATCCAGGACCTGAACTCAGCTCTGCAACAAACAGACCAAATAGACATCCACAGAACTCTCCACCCCAAATCAACAGAGTATACATTCTTCTCAGCACCACATCTGACTTATTCTAAATTTGACCACATAATTAGAAGTAAAGCACTCCTCACCAAATGTAAAAGAACAGAAATCACAACAGACTGTCTCTCAGAACACAGTGCAATCAAATTCAATTTAGGATTAAGAAGCTCACTCAAAACTGAACAACTACATGGAAACTGAACAATTTGCTCCTGAATGACTACTGGGTAAATAACAAGATGAAGGCAGAAATAAAGATGTTCTTTGAAACCAATGAGAACAAAGACACAATGTACCAGAATCTCTGGGACACATTTAAAGCAGTGTGTAGGGGGAAATTTATAGCACTAAGTGCTCAGAAGAGAAAGCAGGAAAGATCTAAAATTGACCCCCTAACATCACAATTAAAATAACTAGAGAAGCAAGAGCAAACACATTCAAAAGCTAGCAGAAGGCAAAAAATATCAGAGCAGAGCTGAAGGAGACAGAGACACAAAAAACCCTTCAAAAAAGCAATGAATCCAGGAGCTGGTTTTTTGAAAAGATCAACAAAATTGATAGACTGCTGGCAAGGATAATAAAGAAGAAAAGAGAGAGGAATCAAATAGATGCAATAAAAATGATAAAGGGGATATCACCACTGAGCCCAGGGAAATAAAAACTACCATCAGAGAATACGATAAACACCTCTACACAAATAAACTTGAACATCTAGAAGAAATGGATAAATTCTGGGACACATACACCCTTGCAAGACTAAACCAGGAAGAAGTTGAATCTCTGAATAGACCAATAACAGTCTCTGAAATTGAGGCAATAATTAATAGCCTACCAACAAAAAAAAGTCCAGGACCAGATGGATTCACAGCTGAACTCTACCAGAGGTACAAAGAGGAGCTGGTACCATTCTTTCTGAAACTTTTCCAATCAATAGAAAAAGACAGAATCCTCCCTAATTCATTTTATGAGGCCAACATCATCCTGATACCAACGCCTGACAGAGACACAACAAGAAAAAAGGAGAATTTTAGACCAAAATCCGTGATGAACATCGATGCAAATATCCTCAATAAGATAATAACAAACCGAATCCAGCAGCACATCAAAAAGCTTATCCACCATGATCAAGTTGGCATCCCTAGGATGCAAGACTGGTTCAACACACGCAAATCAATAAACGTAATCCATCATATAAACAGAATCAAAGACAAAAACCACATGATTATCTTAATAGATGTAGAAAAAGCCTTTGACAAAATTCAACAGCCCTTCATGCTAAGAACTCTCAATAAACTAGGTATTGATGGGACGTATCTCAAAATAATAAGAGCTATTTATGAGAAACCCACAGCCAATATCATACTGAATGGACAATAACTGGAAGCATTCCCTTTGAATCCTGGCACAAGACAAGGATTCCCTCTCTCGCCACTCCTATTCAACATAGTCTTGGAAGTTCTGGCCAGGGCGATCAGGCAAGAGAATGAAATAAAGGTTATTCAATTAGGAAAAGAGGAAGTCAAATTGTCCCTGTCTGCAGATGACATGATTGTATATTTACAAAAATCCATCATCTCAGCCCCAAATCTCCTTAAGCTGATAAGCAACTTCAGCAGAGTCTCAGGATACAAAATCAATGTGAAAAAATCACAGGTATTCTTATACACCAATAACAGACAAACAGAGAGCCAAATCATGAGTGAACTCCCATTCACAATTGCTTCAAAGACAATAAAATACCTAGGAATCCAATTTACAAGGGACGTGAAGGGCCTCTTCAAGGAGAACTACAAACCTCTGCTCAACAAAATGACAGAGGACACAAACAAATGGAAGAACATTCCATGCTCATGGATAGGAAGAATCAATATCGTGAAAATGGCCATACAGCCAAAGGTAATTTATAGATTCAATGACGTCCCCATCAAGCTACTAATGACTTTCTTCACAGAATTGGAAAAAACAACTTTAAAGTTCATATGGAACCAAAAAAGAACCTGCATTGCCAAGACAATCCTAAGCAAAAAGAACAAAGCTGGAGGCATCACACTACCTGACTTCAAACTACACTACAAGGCTACAGTAACCAAAACAGCATGGTACTGGTGCCAAAACAGAGATACAGACCAATGAAACAGAATAGAGCCCTCGGAAATAATACCACACATCTGCAGCCATCTGATCTTTGACAAACCTGACATAAACAAGAAATGGGGAAAGGATTCCCTATTTAATAAATGGTGCTGGGAAAACTGGCTAGCCATATGTGGAAAGCTGAAACTTGATCACTTCCTTACACCTTATATAAAAATTAATTCAAGATGGATTAAAGACTTAAATGTCAGACCTAAAACCATAAAAACCCTAGAAGAATACCTAGGCAATACCATTCAGGACATAGGCATGGGCAAGGAATTAATAACTAAAACACCAATAGCAATGGCAACAAAAGCCAAAATTGACAAATGAGATCTAATTAAATTCAAGAGCTTCTGCACAGCAAAAGAAACTACCATCAGAGTGAACAGACAACCTATAGAATGGGAGAAAATTTTTACAACCTACTCATCTGACAAAGGACTAATATCCAGAATCTACAATGAACTCAAACAAATTTACAAGAAAAAAACAAACAACCCCATCAAAAAGTGGGCACAGGGTATGAACAGACACTTCTCAAAAGAAGACATCTATGCAGCCAACAGACACATGAAAAAATGCTCATCATCACTGGCCATTAGAGAAATGCAAATCAAATCCGCAATGAGATACCATCTCACACCAGTTAGAATGGCAATCATTAAAAAGTCAGGAAACAACAGGTGCTGGAGAGGATATGGAGAAATAGGAAAGCTTTTACACTGTTGGTGGGAGTGTAAACTAGTTCAACCATTGTGAAAGACATTGTGGCGATTCCTCGAGGATCTAGAACTAGAATTACCATTTGACCCAGCAATCCCATTACTGGGTATATACCCAAAGGATTATAAATCATGCTACTATAAAGACACATGCACATGTATGTTTATTGCGGCACTATTAACAGCAAAGAATTGGAACCAACCCAAATGTCCATTAATGATGGACTGGATTAAGACATGTGACACATACACACCGTGGAATACTCTGAAGCCATAAAAAAGGATGAGTTCATGTCCTTTGCAGGGAGATAGATGAAGCTGGAAACCATCATTGTCAGCAAAACTATCACAAGGACAGAAAACCAAACACCGCATGGTCTCACTCATAGATGGGAATTGAACAATGAGATCACTTGGACACAGGGCTGGGAACATCAGGCACTGGGTCCTGTTGGGGGTTGGAGGGCTCGGGGAGGGAGAGCATTAGGAGAAATACCTAATGTAAATGATGAGTTGATGGGTGCAGCAAACCAACATGGCACATGTATACCTATGTATCAAACCTGCACGTTGTGCACATGTATCCTAGAACTTAAGTTATAACAACAACAACAACAAACGTTTCTTCTACCAGATGTCCTCAGTCATCTCTCTCAATTTCAAAGTTCCATAAATCTGTAGGGCAGGGGCAAAATGCCACCAGTCTCTTTGTTAAAGCATAGCAGGAGTGACCTTTACTTCAGTTCCCAACAAGTTGTTCATCTCCATCTCGGACCTCCTCAGCATGGACTTCACTGTCCAAGTCACTATCAGCAGTTTGGTCAAAGCCATTCAACAAGTCTCTAGGCAGTTCCAAACTTTCCCACATCTTCTGATCTTCTTCTGAGTCCTCCCAACTGTTCCAAACTCTGCACATTACACAGTTCCAAAGTCACTTCCACAACCTCAGGTATCTTATAATAATACTTCATTACCTCATTATCAAAATCGGTATTAGTCATGGTTCTCTAGAGGGATAGAACTAATAGGATATATATATATATATATATGAAAAGGAGTTTATTAAGGAGAATTGAATCACACCATCACAAAGTGAAGTCCTACAACAGGCCGTCTGCAAGTTGAGGAGCAAGGAATCTAGTATTGGCTCGAGTCCGAGTCCCAACACCTCAGAAGTAGGGAAACCGACAGGCCAGCTTTGAGTCTCTGGATGAAGGCCTGAGAGCCCCTGGAAAACAACTGGAGTAAGTCCAAGAGTCCAAAAGCCAAAGAACCTGGAATCTGATATTTGAGTGCAGGAAGCATCCAGCATGGGAGAAAGATGAGGGCCAGAAGGCTCAGCAAGTCAGCTTCTCCTAACCTTCTTCTGCCTGCTTTATTCTAGCCATGCTGGCAGCTGATTGTATGGTGCCCACCCACATTGAGGGTGGATCTGCCTTTCCCAGTCCACTAAATAAATGTTAATCTCCTTTGGCAACACCCTCACAGACACAACCGGGAAAAATACTTTGGATCCTTCAATCCAATCAAATTGACAATTACTTAATATTAACCTTCACAATGTAATATTCATCCCATTTGTAATTTTTCTTTAATATACAAGCTCCTTGAGAACATGCACCATTTGATCTTGTCTCTCTGTTGTGTTGGGAGGCAGTGGAGAAGAGAAGAGTTAAATGTGTGGGTGTGGAGTGAGACTGCCAGATTTGCATCTTGGCTCCCCTACTTATTGGATCTCTGTCCTTGAGAAAATTACTTAACATCTTTCTCAGTTTCCTTACCTGTAAATGAGTGGTGACATATATGGAACTTAGAACAAGAGCCAAGCAAGTATTCAATAAAAGCTGATGTTGTTGCCTACTGTTTATTCTCAGTGTTTGGCATAGTAGCCGGCAAAAGGAAGAGGATTTTTTTTTTCTTTTTCTCAGACAGTCTCCCTCTGTCACCCAGGCTGGAGTGCAGTGGTGTGATGTTGGCTCACTGCAACCTCTGCCTCTTGGGTTCAAGCGATTCTTCTGCCTCAGCCCCCTGAGTAGCTGTGATTACAGGCCTGTGCCACCACACACAGCTAACTTTTTGTATTTTTAGTAGAGATGGAGCTTTGCTATGTTGGCCAGGCTGGTCTTGAAGTCATGTCCTCAAGTGATTCCCCCAGCTTTGGTCTCCCAAAGTGTTGGGATTATAGGCGTGAGCCATTGGGCCCAGCCTGGAAATATTTTTTTGAAACATGACTGATAACAATATTTTTTGAAAGAATGACAGATACCAATCATGAAGGAAAAGATTTTCACAATTGACAATAAAAAGCTTTAACTTCTGAATGGTAAAAAGAGTGAGAAAATTAAGAGCGAAATTACAAATTGAAAAAACTAAAGTATATAAAACAAAGGTTTTCATTCTCAATTTAATGCAGAATCTTGACAAATCAAAAAGAATAAAAGGTGAACCCACCTAAAAGAAATAGGGAAAAAACTTTCAAGAAAAGCAATTTACAAAATGGCAATGACTAATAAACATGGATATTTAACATCACTAATATTCAAAGTACTTCATTTATAGAGATCCCTCCTTCACCTATCAAATTAGCAAAGATGAAAAAGGCTAGTAATACCAAGTTTTGAAGAGAGGTGAGAGGAAATGACAAGTTTATGTACCCTGGTAGGACATGATATTGTGGCAATATGTTTCAGAACACTCATAAATGTATATACCTTTTAGATCAACAATTACACATTTAAGCTTAAGAAAATATGAAGATTAGCTACAAATATTTCTCTATGTGTTCAATTAAGTATTAATTTTTAATTAAAAAAAAATTTTTGAGACAGAGTCTCGCTCTGTTGCCCAGGCTGTATAGCTCAATACAGCCTCCGCCTCCTGGGTTCCAGTGATTCTTCTGCTTCATCCTCCTGAGTAGCTGGGATTACAGATGCCCACCACCATGCCTGGCTATGTTTTGTATTTTTAGTGGAGACGGGGTTTCACCATGTTGGTTGGCCAGGCTGGTCTTGAACTCCTGACCTCAAGTGATCCACCCTTCTTGGCCTCCCAAAGTGCTGGGATTATAGGTGTGAGCCTCCATGCCCGGCCAATTTTTTAATTTAAAAAAATATTTTTATAGCAGCACAACGAGTTATTGTTTTAATAGTAAATATTGGAGTTTACTTTAATTTTGAACAGGATAATTAATCATGATGCAGCACATTGAATACTCTTTCATTAAGCTAAACAACTATTAAAAATGATATACAAATACATTTACTGAAAAGAAACATGTTTGTGATATACAGTTAAGTGTAAAACAATTCAGGTTATAAGAACATATTAGGCCGGTGCGATGGCTCACGCCTGTAATCCCAACACTTTGGGAAGCCGAGGCAGGTGGATCACGAGGTCAGGAGATCAAGACCATCCTGGCTAACACGGTGAAACCCTGACTCTACTAAAAATAATTAAAAAAAAATTAGCCGGGCGTGGTGGCGGGCGCCTGTAGTCCCAACTACTTAAGAGGTTGAGGCAGGAGAATGGCATGAACCCGGGAGGCAGAGCATGCAGTGAGCTGAGATTGTGCCACTGCACTCCAAGCTGGGTGACAGAGCAAGACTCCGCCTCAAAAAATAAAAAAATAAATAAAAGGACATGTTGGTAAATATTCACTGATTTTTATAAGAATATTTGACAGAGAGAGAGGGGTAAGGGAAGGGAAGGGGAGGAGAGGGGAAGGGAAGGGAAAGGAAGAAGGGAAGAAGGGAAGGGAAGGGAATATGGGTGGATTTATATCAAAAGGTTCAGAAGGAAATGATTCTTTTCTTCTGGATGTGACTATTGCAGATTTTATTTTTAACTTTTCCTCTTTTTCTTATTTATTTATATTTTCTTATTTTAAGAGAAACTATAAAACTATATATATTACTTTTCAACTTAAAAATAGTTTAGCGCTTCAATAATACAGAAGTCTCAAACATTGCAGATAATTAAAGCATTACTAAATGTGGAAACGTTTAGTTTCACAATTTCTGTAGTGATATTCAAGACCAGATATCACCTTGGGAATCAGAACTGGTGCAGGATCTTGTCCTAACACTACCAAAAAGGCACATGGCTGTCCCAGCTCTGTATGTTTATGTTGTCTTATAATAGAGCAACCAGTTGTTTATTAGGATGGCCAAAAAGGTGCATTTCAAATAAATGCCTATTAAAATATTAGTAGTACAAATAATACTGCTGCTTAATTTTTTCTAATGAGAACTGATAAAATTCAAAAGCAACATAAGCAGATAAATAGTAATAATATGGTTTATCAAATTAATTGTCACATGATTATTAAAGTGAGATCATGTGTGTTAAGTAGTGGTATCTTAAGCCACTGAAATATCTTCCTTGGTCTGGAATGAGCTTTCTATGGAGATTAAAAAGATGTTAAATTGAACAGTCTTGGTTAATAAATGAAGAAGCAAAGCCAGAAACCCTGTTTAAAGAACTAATAAAAAAGGTCACGAATGATCTGGCGGTTGTTATATTTTCTTGTTTACCCGAGTAGAAGACTATGCTCAAGCATGTATTGAATCCAGTGATAGCCAGAAGGTCATCCATACTGCTAGCAGCCATTAGTAAGGTTGGAATGTCTTCCTCAACACCATATCCATTTTCTTGCAACACCATCGTGTAAAGGACAACAACAGCAGGAGAGACAGCACCTAGAACAAAACTGAAAGAAAGAATGAAAATTAATTTAAAAGCAGCTTTTTAACCAAGTAGTGTTTTATAAGTACAAGTAGTTTATAATAAATTTATAACAAACATTGTTTAGAAGAATTTCAAATTTGAGTGAATGCAATTTAATGGTGATAAAACTTTTCATGTATTGTTTAGTGCTGGCTAAAATTTTATACAGACGTGGTTTCAAATGTTGGGCTGAGCACAGGTTACAGCCTCTCCCTCTATTCCTAAATCCTTTGAAGTGAAGATGTAAAGGTAATAGAAAAATCCATAACCTAACTAGAAAGCAAAAGGTGAATCATCAATGGACAAGAAACTAAGTATATGCCAGAAAGATAAGAGACAGACAATTTAGGATTGAAAAAAGGAAACCATAAACCAAAATGTATGTAAATAAGATTGCCTCAAAAGATACATGTGCTTCTACAAGTGGTCCAAGCCCTGAAATGACACATTCTGGGAGCAGGAGAGACCGCTGGGGAAACCAAATAGTTGATTATTTGGAGTGCCACTGTAAGAATGGTCAGACACATCTACCTTCCACACATTTCCTACCTCTTGAGTAAATAAGTAAGTAAGGAAGGAAGGAACAGAGTTGTCTGCCCAAAAAAACAAGTGTGGCCATCTAAGTTACAAAGGCAAATGAGAACATTTCTGGAGTGGTTGATGACACTCATGAGGAAGGGCGAGGTTCCTGCACAGAATACCTTCTATTGGCATATCTTATCCTGATTTTCACCTCATCTCTTCTACATTTACTTTATAAAGCGTAAAGTATATCCTGTGTAGAAATGCTTTTGGTGCTTCTGCCAGAATCCATTTACCAGGTCAATGAACACATCTCCCAGTGCTTCTTGTTGGCTGCTAATATCTGCAGGTTTCTAGAACCCTTGTCCTGCTGACAAGCACCTACCTGGGAATACGAGGGAGGTTGTGCACCCCTCTACTTTCCCTCCAGACAGCATCTGCCAATGACGGACTGATGTGAGATTTGCTTCTGGCTGTACAACTCTATGGCACAGTTTATGCTACAGATTTCCCTGTGGGCTGAAGAAGAGACTAGACTTATCTAAGACCACATACTGGTCTAGTTCAGTGGTTCCTCAACTCTGCTGTACATTGTAATCATCTGTTGTATTATTTTTCTCATTTTGCTTAACAAGTCATCCCCAAACATAGCAGCTTAAAACAACAAATATTTATTGTCTTATGACTTCTGTGGGTCAGGAATCTGGGCATGGCTTAGTTGTATGTCTTGACTTAAGATTTACCATGAGGTAGGGTGGGGTGGAGAAGATCTGCTTCCAAGTTTATTCATGTAACCATTGCAGGCTTCAGTTTTTTCCAATGGGGTTTTCTCCACAGGGCTGCCTCAGAACATGGCAGCTGGCTTCCCCAGGAATAAGTGATCAAAGAGAATTTAATCCACAACATCAATTAAAAACAAAGTATCTAAGAACAAAACTGTGAAGACAGTCTATAATTTTATAAAAAATTGTGAATATAATATAATAATTAAGATAATACCTGAATACTTAGAGAGACATTTCACAAGTGTGAACTAAAAAGCCCCAATTTTACCATTGCCCAACACCACGCCTGGCTAGTTTTTGTGTTTTTAGTAGATACG
This sequence comes from Homo sapiens, assembly GCF_000001405.40. Taxonomy (NCBI): domain Eukaryota; kingdom Metazoa; phylum Chordata; class Mammalia; order Primates; family Hominidae; genus Homo; species Homo sapiens. Next base: position 11,370,684 of record NC_000024.10, read on the forward strand.
GTGTTTCACCATTTTTGCCAGGCTGGTCTTGAACTCCTGACCTCAAGTGATATGCCTGCCTTGGCCTCCCAAAGTGCTGGGATTATAGGTGTGAGCCACCACCCCCGGCCAAAGCCTCAATAATATATAGATGTAACCTCTCCCCCAAATGAATTAATCAGAGATACACCAATCAAAATCTTTGCTGGGATTTTTACTGAGCATGAAATGCTGATTATAAAATTCATTTGGAAGAATAAGATCTTAGAATGAAAGATCAAGTAAACTTAAGAAAACAAGATACTGTTTTTGTAAAGGTAAAATAGTTAAAACTGAATAATAATGACATATAAAAAGAAAAAATAAATTGGAAGAAAAGAGAATACAAAGTGTGGAAACAAATCTATGGGATTTGTTACATCATACAACTGGTACTTTAAATCAGTGGGAGAAAGAAAGAAATCTTTCAAAAATGGTGTTGAGATAACTATTTATGTGGAAAGGAATATAGATAGATCCTTACACAAAATAAATGTTAAAAGCTCAAAAGGAAAAGTAGTAATAAGAAAATGTAGTGGGCTAGGTGTGATGGCTCACACCTGTAATCCCAGCAATTTGGGAGGCTGAGGTGGACAGATCAGGAATCTGAGAACAGCCTGGCCAACATGGTGAAACCAATAGCTGGGTGCAGTGGTGCATGCCTGTAGTCCCAGATACTTGGGAGGTTGAGGCAGGAGAATCACTTGAACCTGGGAGGTGGAAGTTGCAGTGAGATGAGATCATGCCACTGCACTACAGCCTGGGTGACAGCAAGACTCTGAACAACAACAAAAAGATGTAGAATAATATATTTGTGATCATGAGGTAAAAAGGACCTTTTGACTGATACATACAAAGGCATTAGACATAAAAAGAGATTGTGATACGTTCAATTATATTAAAGGAGTACTTCAAAAGCAACTTCAAAAGTACTATAATAAAGTACTACTTCAAAAGCAATTCTGCTCTTTCTCCCCCTTTTTCTCTTTTTCATTTTCAAAGTCAAGTGAACGGTGTGGTATATTGGCAATTCTCTCTGTTGAAAATAACAAAACACACTTTTTAGAGTGAAAAAAAATCATCACAAACAAAATTAAATATCTACTGATATTTGCAATACATATAATTTACAAATGCCTATAACAGATATAACTAATAAAGAAGACCAACTCAACAAAAAAATGGACAAAGGATATGAACAGGCTAAGGAAAAGCTGAAGGACAACACGTATATAAAAGATATTCAAGCTTGTGAATAATCACAGAAATACAAATTAAAATAAAAATACGCCATTTTTTCAATTATCAGACTGGAAAACATTATAAAATTTAATAATATTAAGGATTTGCAAGGATTTTCAAGAACAACAGGTATGCTCCTAAGCTATTGTTATTAGGGCAAATTAAAGTGGCCATACCGAAAGTATTTTGGCAGTATACATCAAACTAAAAATGCATGTAACCCAGGTAACTATTCTAAACAAACTTGTATTTATGTAAAATGAGACAAATAAAATGCTATTTTTGTTATAACATTGTAAATAAAATCTGCTGTTGACATACAATGTAATCTTATACAATTAAAAGGAATAAACTACATGTGTATCCATCTTGAGATGGATAAACCTCAAGACTATTCTTGAGTGAAAAGAAAAAATTGTTAAGTAAAATTTTCTTGGGTATGATTAAGTAAAAATGCACAAAATAAAACTCTTTTTTTCTCTGGGTTCACAAATACATTTGTTAGAAGTCCAGAACATTATTTTTAAAGATCTAGAATGATAACATAAAACTCATAAAGATGCTGCCACTCTGTCTTCAGCGGCACATGAGTGCACCCCACAACACCATTGCCCTGGCTGGCACGTGCAAGTATGCAGAACACTCCCATTCCACTCCTGCCAGCACTGCACCCCTGCCAACACATGCATACCTGCTGTGTGCTGCTGCTCCTGGCACATATGTGTGAGTGAGGACCTTGCTACAATCACTACAATGAAGCACTTTGTCTGGCACACCCCATCAGAGTGTTGTTGCCAGTCGACTGGGAACACCTCAGTGCTTAACATTGAAGGGCCAGACAACAAATCTGTGGGTATGTTACCAGCGTTGCAAAATTAGAGCGTGCAGTTCAGGAGTGCTGGGCTGAGCCTTTGCCCCCTGAAATCTTCCAGAAATGAAGCCATTTGACTGAAACTACCTTGTGCCACAGTCAAATCCTCAAGGGCATTAAAGAATATAAAAAAGGAAAAAACTCCATCCAAAGGACAGTGATTCAAAACATTAAAGGAACCTTAGCCCACACAGATGTGAAAGAACCAGTGCAAGAACTCTGGCAATATAAAAAGCCAGAATGTCTTCCTGTCTTCAAGCAATCATACTAACTCTCCAACAATGGTTGTTAACCAGGATTAAATGACAGACATAGATTTCAGAATCTGGATAGAAACAAAGATCATTGAGATTCAGAAGAAAGTCAAAATCCAATGCAAATGATCTAAGAAATCCAATAAGACGACATAAGAGCTGAAAGATGAAATAGGCATTTTAAGAAAGAACCAAACTAAACTGATAGAGCTGAAAAATGCACCTCAAGAATTTCATAATACAATAACAAATACTAACATCAGAACGGACCAAGCTGAGGAAAGAATCTCAGATCTCAAAGACCACTTCTTTGAATCAACTCAGTCAGATGAAAATAAAGAACAAAAAAGAATGAACAAAACCTCTGAGAAATCTGAGATTATGTAAAGAGACCAAACATATGACTCAAGGCATCACTCAAAGAAAGGGAGAAAGAACAAGCAAGTTGGAAAACATATTTGAGGTTACTGCCCACAAAAATTTCCCAAATCTTGCTAGAGAAGTCACCATTTAAATCCAGGAAATGCAGAGAATCCTGTGAGATACTATACAAGATGACCATCCCCAAGACAGACAGTCATCAGATTCTCCAAGGTCAACATGAAATAAAAAAATAAGAAATGCAGCTAAAGTGAAGGGCAGGTCACATACAAAGGGAATCCCATCAGGCTAACAGTGGAACTATAAGATACTCTACAATCCAAAAGAAATTGGGGACCTATATTCAGCATTCTTTTTTTTTTTTTCGAGACGGAATCTCACTCTGTTGCCCAGGCTGGAGTGCACTGTTGCTATCTCGGCTCACTGCAACCTCCACTTCCCGGGTTCAAGCAATTCTTCTCCCTCAGCCTCCCAAGTAGCTGGGACTACAGGTGCGCACCACAACACCCGGCAATTTTTTGTAATTTTAGTAGAGACAGGATTTCACCATATTGGCCAGGGTGGTCTCAAATTACTGACCTCATGATCTGCCCACCTCGGCCTCTCAAAGTGCTGGGATTACATGTGTGAGCCACCATGCCCGGCCTTCAGCATTCTTAAAAAAAAAAAAAAAACTTGGCCGGGTGTGGTGGCTCATGCTTGTAATCCCGCACTTTGGGAAGCTGAGGGGGGCGGAACACAAGTTCAAGAGATCAAGACCATCCTGGCCAACATGGTGAAACCTCATCTCTAATAAAAATACAAAAGTTAGCTGGGCATGGTGGTGCGTGTCTGTAGTCCCAGCTACTCAGGAGGCTGAGGCAAGAGAATCACTTAACCCAGGAGGTGGAGGTTGCAGTGAGCTGAGATAGCACCACTGCACTCCAGCCTGGTTACAGAGAAAGACTCTGTCGCAAAAAAAAAAAAAAAAAAAAAAAATTCAACCAAGAACTTAATATCCAGCCAAACTAAACTTCATATGTGAAGGAGAAGTAAGATCTTTTCCAGACAAACAAATGCTAACGGAATCTGTTACCACCAGACATGCCTTAAAAGAGGTCCTTAAGGGAGTGCTAAGCATGGAAGTGAAAGACTGTTAATGGCCACCACAAAAATACATTTAAGTACATAGACCATTGACATTGTAAAGTAACAACACAATCAAGTCTGCATAATAACCAGCTAACAACATAATGGCAGGACCAAAGCTATAAATACCAATATTAGCTGTGAATGTAAACAGTATAAATGCCCCGCTTAAAACTCGCAGAATGGCAAGTTGGGTAAAGAAGCAAAGCCCGACCGTATCTGTTGTCAAGAGACCTAGCTCATATGCAACAATACCCATTGGTTTGAAGTAAAAGGATGGAAAAAAATCTACCAAGCAAATGCAAAACAAAACAGGGTAAGCATTGTTATTCTAATTCAGACAAAATAGACTTTAAACCAACAACAATCAAAAAGACAAAGAAGGGCACTACTTAATGATAAAGGGTTCAATTCAACAAGAAGACTTAACAGTCTGAAAGATAAATGTGCTCAAAACTGGAGCATTCACATTTGTAAAACAAGTTCATAGAGACCTATAGAGAGACTTAGATAACCACAGAATAATAGTGAGAGACTTCAACATCTCACTGACGGTACTAGACAGATCATAGAGACAGAAAATGGACAAAGATATTCAGGACTTGAAGTCAACACTTGGCTAAATGGACATAACAGCCTTCTACAGAACACTCCACCCAACAACAACAGAATATATCTTCCTCTCATCTGTACATAGCATATATTGTAAAATTGATCACACTATCAGTCTAAAATTATTTTCAATAAATTAAAAGAAACCCCTGAAATCATGCCAACCACACTCTTGAACCGCTCAGTGTAACAAAAATAGAAGTCAATACTAAGAAGAACTCTCAAAACCATACAATTACATGGAAATTAAACAACCTGTGCCTGAATGACTTTTGGGTAAACAATGAAATTAAGGCAGAAACCAATAAATTCTTTGAAACTAATTAAAACAAAGATATAACATTCTAGGCTCTCTAAGAGACAGACAAAGCAGTGTTAAGGGAAAAGTTTATCGTGCTAAATGCCCATATTGAAAAGTTAGAAGGATCTTAAATTAACAACCTAATATCATACCTAAAGGAAATAGAAAAACAAGAGGAATCCAACCCAAAGCTAGCAGAAGAAAATAACCAAAATCAGAGCAGAATGGAATGAAATTGAGTCATGAAAAGCCATACAAAAGATAAATGAACTAAAAGCTGGTTCTTCGAAAGAATAAATAAATTTGATAGGTCACTAGCTAGACAAATAAGGAAAAAAAAAAGAGAAGATACAAAAAATACAATCAGAAGTGGTAAAGTGGACATTACCGCCAACCACACAGAAATACAAAAAACTGTCAGAGACTATGATGAACATGTTTATGCTAACAAAGTAGGACACCTACAACAAATGGGTAAGTTTCTGGAAACATACAACCTCCCAAGATTGAACTAGGAAGAAATTGAAATCCTGAACAAACCAAAAATGAGTTTCGAAACTGAATGAGTAATAAAAAGTCTCTGAGCCAAAAAAAAAAAAAAAAAAAAAAACAGCAAGCCCAGGACCCAACAGATTCACAGACAAATTCTACCGGAAGTGTAAAGAAGAGCTGGTACCAATGCTACTGAAATTATTCCAAAAAATGGAGGAGGAAGGATCCCTCCCTAACTCATTTTATGAGGTCAGCATCATTCAGATATGAAAACCTGGCAGAGACACAACAAAAAAGAAAACTTCAGGACAGTCATCCCTGATGATCATAGATGCAAATATCCTCAACAAAATATAAGCCAACTGAATCCAGCAGCATGTCAAAAAGCTAGTCCACTATGATCAAGTAAGCTTTATCCCTGGGATGCAAGTTTGGTTCAAGATATGCAAATCAATAAACGTGATTCATCATAAAAAAGGACTAAAAATAAAAATATCCCTTCATGATATAAACCCTCAACAAATGAGTTACTGAAGGAGCATACCTCAAAATAATTGGAGCCATTTATGACAAACCCACAGCCAACTTCACACTGAATGGGAAAAAGCTGGAATATTCCCTTTAAGAACTGGAACAAGACAAGGATGCCCACTCTCACTACTCCTATTCAACATAGTGCTGGATGTCCTAGCCAGTGCAATAGGCAAGAGAAAGAAACACAGACATCTAAATAGGAAGAATGGAAGTCAAACCATGCCTCTTCATAGGTGAAACACTTTTATACCAAGGAAACCCCATAGTAGCCTCTCGAGAGCTCCCAGATCTGATAAATGACTTCAGCAAAGTTTCAGGATACAAAAATCAATGTACAAAAATCTGTAACATTTCTATACATTAACATCATCCAAGCTGACAGCCAAATAAAGAATGCAATCCCATTCCCAGTAGCCACAAAAAAAACTACAAAATACCTTGGAATACAGCTAATCAGGGAGGTGAAAAATCTCTAAAATGAAAATTACAAACAAGTGCTCAAAGAATCAGAGACAACAGAAACAAAAGGAAAACATTCCATGATCACAGATAGGAAGAAGCAATATTGTTAAAATGGCCATACTGTCTAAGGCTATTTACAGAGTCAATGCTATTCCTATCATACCACCAATGACATTTTTCACAGGATTAAAAAAAAAGCATTCTAAAATTCATTTGGAGCCAAAAAAAAAAAAAGAAAAAAAAAAGCCCAAATTACCAAAGCAATCCTAAGCAAAAAGAACAAAGTCGAAAGCATCACACTACCTGACTTCAAACTGTACTACAATGCTACAGTAAGCAAAACAGCATGGTTATGCTCATCAAAAGAAATAATCAGCAGAGTAAAAAGACAACCTATAGAGTGGGAGAAAATCTTTACAAACTATGCATCCAGCAAAGTACTAATATCCAGAATCTATAAGGAACTCAAAAACAGACATAGACCAGTGGAACAGGTTACAGAATGCAGAAATAAAGCTGTACACCTATAGCCATCTACTCTTCAACAAACTTGACAAAAACAAGCAATGGGGAAGGGAATCCCTACTTGGAAATTGTGCTGGGATAACTGGCTAGCCGTATGCAGAAAATTGAAATGACTCCATACGTTTCACCGTTTACAAAAATCAACTCAAGGTAGATTAAAGACTTAAATGTAAAACCCAAAACTATAAAAACCCTGGAAGATAGCCTAAGAAATACCATTCTCCATACAGGCCATTCTGGACATATCCTAGGAAATTTCAATTCTGGAAAACACTTTATGACAAAGATGTCAAAAGCAATTGCAACAAAAACAAAAATTCACAATTGCGACCTAATTAAACTAAAGGGCTTCTGCACAGCAAAAGAAATAATCAACAAACAACCTATGGAATGGAAGAAAATATTTTCAAACCATGCATTCGACAAAAGTCTAATATCCAGAATACAAAAAGAACTTAGAAAAATCAACAAGCAAAAATCTAACAACCCCATTAAATGGGCAAAGGACAGGACAAGACACTTCTCAAAAGAAGACAAACACATAGTCAACAAGTACACGGAAAAGTATTCAACATCACTAATCTTTAGAGAAATGCAAAACAAAAGTGCAATGAAATACAACCTCACAGGAGGCAGAATGGCTATTAATAAAAAGTCAAAAAGTAATAGATGCTGGCGAGCTTGGGGAGCTACTCCCAGGTCTTTGGAAGGCTGAGGCATGAGAATTGCTTGAACCTGGGAGGCAGAGGTGGCAGTGAGCTGAGATTGGGCCATTGCGCTCTAACCTGGGCAACAGAGCAAGACTCCATCCCCAAAAAAAAATACAGAAAGAGAAAGAAAGAAAAACCCACAGCCAACATTATACTGAATGGGAAAAGTTGAAAGCATTCTCCCGAGAACTGGAACAAGACAAGGATGCCCACTTTCACCACTTCTATTCAACATAGTACTGGAAGTCCTAGCCAGAGCAATCAGACAAGAGAAAGAAATAAAGGGCATCTAAATCAGCAAAGAGGAAGTCAAACTGTTGCTGTTCCTGATGATATGATCATATAATGAGAAAACCCTAAAGACTCATCCAAAAAGCTCCTAGATCTGATAAATGAATTCAGTAACGTTTCAGGATACAACATCAATGTACACAAATCAGTAGAACTGGTATACACCGAGGGTGACTGAGCTGAGAATTAAATCAAGATCTCAACCCCTTTTACAGCAGCTACAAAAAAACCAAACCAAACGAACAAACAATACCAAAGAAAAAACCCAAGCAAACCAATTTAGGAATATACCTAACCAAGGAGGTGAAAGATCTCTACAGTGGAAACTACAAAACACTGCAGAAAGAAATCATAGATGACACTAACAAATAGAAACACATTACATGCTCATGGATAGGTAGAAAAAATATTGTGAAAATGACCATACTGCCAAAAGCAATCTACATCATCATTCTTCCCCGAACTAGAAAAAGCAATCCTAAAATTCATGTGGAGCCCAAAAATAGCCCGCATAACGAAAGCAAGACTAAGCAAAAAGAACAAATGTGGATGCATCACATTGCTTGACTTCAAGCTATGCTATAAGTCTATAGTCACCAAAGCAGCATAATACTGGTATAAAAATAGGCACATAGACTAATGGAACCGAATAGAGAACTGAGAAATAAAGCCAAATACTTAAGCCAACGGATCTTTAACAAAGGAACCAAAAACATAAAGTTGGGAAAGGATACCATATTCAACAAATGGTGCTAGGATAATTGGCAAGCCATATGTAGAAGAATGAAACTGCATCCTCATCTCTCACCTTATACAAAAATCAACTCAAGATGGATCAAAGACTTAAATCTAACACCTAAAACAGTAAAAATTCTAGAAGGTAACATTGGAATTACCCTTCTAGACATTTGCTTAGGCAAAGACTTCATGACCAAGAACCCAAAAGCAAAGGCAACAAAAACAAAGATAAATAAATGGGACTTCATTAAACTAAGAATCTTCTACACAGCAAAAGAAATAATCAGCAGAGTAAAAACACAACCTATAGAGTGGGAGAAAATCTTTACAAACTATGCATCCAACAAAGTACTAATATCCAGAACCCATAAGGAACTCAAACAAATCAGCAAGAAAAAAACCAAATTATCCTATCAAAAAGTGTGCTAAGGACATGAATAGACACTTCCCAAAAGAAGATATAAATGGCCAAGAAACATGAAAAAATCCTCAATATCACTAATTATCAGGGAAATGCAAACAAAACCACTTAAATAATTAAAAGTTGATCTACAATTTGATCTAGCAATCCCACAACTGGGTATCTACCCAGAGGAAAAGAAGTCATTATATTAAAAAAACGCTTGCACACACGTTTACTGCAGCACAATTTGCAGTTGTGAAATATATGGAAATAGCTCAAATGCCCATCAATCAATGAACACATAGAGAAAATATGGTGTATATATATATATATATATATATATATATATATATATATATATGTGTGTGTGTGTGTGTGTACATACACACATATATGTGTATATATGTATATATATATATATGTGTATGTGTGTATATATATACACACACAGACCATAGAGGGAATACTACTCAGCTATAAAAAGGAATGAAATAATGGCATTCACAGCAGCCTGGAAAGAGTCGGACACCATTATTCTAAGTGAAGTAATTCAGGAATGAAAAAATCAAACATTGTATGTTCTGACTTATAAGTGGGAGTTATGCTATGAGGATGCAAAAGCATAAGAATGATACAATGGACTTTGGGGACTTAGGGGGAAGAGTAGGAGGAGGGTGAGGGATAAAAGACTACACCTTGGGTGCAGTGTACACTGCTTTGGTGATGGGTGCACCAAAATCTCAGAAATTACCACTAAAAATATTTTCCATGTAAACAAACACCACCTGTTCCTTAAAAACTAATGAAAAAAATATAAAAGACATGAGATCAACCTAAATGCCCATCAATGGTGAACTGGATAAAGAAAATGTTGCACATATACACCATAGAATAATACACAAAGTGAATTAACGGAGGAACAGGAAACCAAATATCCCATATTCTCACCTATAAGTGGGAGCTAAACACTGAGTACACATGGACAGAAAGAAGGGAACAATCGTCACTAGGTGAATTTGAGGGTGGAGGGTGGAAGGAGGGGGAGAATAGAAAAACTACCTATTGGGTATTATACTTACAACCTGGGTGACAAAATAATCTCCTTACCAAACCCCTGTGACATGCAATTTATCCATATAACAAGCCTGGTCATGTACCCCTTGAGCCAAAATAAAAATTGGAGAAGAAAAAAACTCCTAAGAGTTGTCACTTTGGGTAGAGTTATGGGCATTATGATTTGAAGGCATAGTTTAAGGTCATTCCTCCTTTATTTATAAGTTCTAATTTTTAAAATAAAAGTGCATTTGACTATTTTATCATATACATTAATTTAAAAATTCACTGGATTTTATAGTAACTATGTAATGGATGAACTTTGCTATGAATGTCATTGGAATGGATAAGCAGAGACAAAAGTTGATGAATTAAGAAATGAAAAGGAGTTAGGATCTAGAGACAGTAGTTATAGACTTATTCTGAGGAATTCAAACATAAGACAAATGGATGGTAGATAAAGATGGATGGGGTATTGGATATACGGCAAGAGTTTTTGTTTGCTTGCTTTCTTCAAAATGGGAGAGTTTATATTTATACACCTATGTCTATATAAAATGTTTCTCAAATATATATATAAATACACATACATATATATGAAATGTGCAACTGTATTTACATATAGCTATGAGGAAGAGGCCATTAGATAGATTAAAACATTCAGATATGTTATAATACAGATGAAAAGGAATAAATTGATCACTTGAATTTTCTTGATGATAAACATTTAGGTGCTATGAATGTTTGTTAAAAAGATTTCGTGCAATTTGGGACATGCTCTGCTTTTAATCAACTGCTTTCCAAGGATTTTAACACTGTGAAATGAATTTTAATAGAGCTTTTCTATACAATATTCTGAATATTTTAACAGTTTTAACCAAGCATCCTTAATTGAATATTTCCGTAAGAAAAAATGAGATAGAAATTACCCTAATAGAATTGCCCATTGCCAGGGAAATTTCATAATGAAGTGGGAAAAAACAGCAGCTGCACTTGCCTCCATAAGGCATGGACCTAAAGCCATTCTGAAACAAACCACCTTCAAATGCCTCAAAGCCTGAAACAGAAAACAGTCACATTTGATACATTTACAATGGCCAAAAATAAAATTATTTTAACAAATGTTGGACTATAAAGTCTTTTTTCATAAGAAGCTTTCACTAAACAAAATCTCATTTCAACAGATTGTCCCACAGGACTTTGAACCCTATTATATTTTATATGTCATCATAGGTTGGATTATAAACAATTTCATCTTTTATAAAATATTATTGTATTTTAATTATTAAAAGATCAATTTTACTGTGATTAAATAGCTAATGCTACCTTCCTGAACTTTCCTAATACATAGTATAATAATAGTGTCATATTAGTGTTTTCCCATTAACTTTTTGATATGAACTCTTTGATTAACTTAATAAGTATAAATACAATACTAACATGCCAAAGAAAATAACTTAAAAACTGCATAATTCATTTTAAAAGGGAGAACTTTTCAATTTTCTCCTTGGTTCATACTTTCTACTGGAGAATATAATCTCATTAGCTATAATTATTTATGCTCTTGAGCTATTTCTATTAAACCACATTTGCCACATTTATTTGAGTGGCTGTCATATTCATGAATAGTCATCTTCTTATAGATGGGATTTATGATCCCTAGAATGTAATATTTTAAGAAATGCTTTAAAAGATTAGATTTTACAATAATGCAAAGATAATCAGGAACATAATCCTGTAGAGAAAACGTCATAAAAAATAACTGAAATCCTTAATCACCCTAAAAAAAGAAAAAGAATTGTATAAGGTTTTTCTTATAAAACCTTTGTTTGTTTGTTTTGTTTTGTTTTTTGAGACGGAGTCTCACTCTGTCCCCCAGGCTGGACTGCAGTGGCACTATCTCAGTTCACTGCAACCTCTGTCACTCAGGTTCAAGTGATTCTCTTGCCTCAGCCTCCCGAGTAGCTGGGATTACCAGGTAAATGCCACCATACCCGGCTAATTTTTGTAGATTACAGACATGAGACATCATGCCCGGCCTTTTTTTCTTTATCTTAGGTTTGTTTACAGACTCCACTTGGAACAGGTAAATAAAATTTTTGCTTCTTTTTCTTTCTCACCATCCTCTAATATTTGAAATAATCTTACTCGATTTGTAATTGTAAATCTACCTGTGGATCGAGTCCAAACCCAGCTCGTATTAGAATAATGTTAAGGGCAATGCTTCTTAAAATTGAAGATCATGCGTTAGGAACATGGATATGTTCACTGATGAATGGAACATTCCTAATTGTAAAACCAGCCACTAACATCCCTTAAAAGGAAGAAAATAAACATACATGACAGTTCATTTTTCTGAGAAAGAAAACAGAAATGTTTACTTTATTTTCTAATGCACTATGTCTCTCATTATTTTGGTAAAGGGCACGTTACAAGCAAGTAGAGAAGGCAGCATGAATAAAGGAATGGTGATAAGAAACAATACACCAAAATGGGGTTCAACAAGTAATTTAGTGTTGCTGGAACATACAGGGCAAGGAAAGGAGGGAGGAGAATTAGTTTGGTGGGCCAGATCATAGAAAGGTCTCCCCCCACTTTGGCAAAGTAAGGCACCATTGGAAGGTTTTAGGCAGGAAGTAACATAATGAGTCTTGTGATTTTTATATGAGGGTCTTGGTGAATTAGTTATGGATAAAACTGGAGACAGAGACCAAATTGAAGGCTCTACCACAGTCCACGCAAAAGTTGGAAGCAAATAGCCTAAGCTAGAGCAAAAGAGGAAGTTTGGAGAGGAGGAAAATGATTCAATAAATACTTAGAAGGTGCTGCAAGAAAACTGTGGATACAGAAGTGACAGCAGAGATAAGATGTAGAGATTATCTGTAATGACATTGTACTGAATATATATTTATTTTTGGGGACAGGGTCTCATGCTGTTGCTCAAGGTGAGTGCAGTGATGCAAACATGGCTCACTGTAGGCTTAATCTCCTGAGCTCAAGTGATCCTCTTGCCTTAGCCTCCTGAGTAGCTGAGACCCAGAAAAATTTTTAATATTTTGTAAAAACAAGGTCTGCTATGTTGCCCAGGCTGGTTTTGAACTCCTGGGCTCAGGTGATCCTCCTGCCTTGGCTTCCCAAAGTGCTGGGATTATGGGCATGAGCCACCATGCCTGGCCCACTGTACTGAATATTTAGATATATTTGAATACAGTAAGGTCTCACTTAACATCGTCGATAGGTGATTGGAAATGGCAACTTAGAGTAAATTGCTATATAACAAAACCAATTTTAGCATAGGCTAAATGGTATAAACAAGAGTCAATTTCCTACAGTATATTTCTGGTCACAAAACATCATCAAACTTCTAAATAAAGATCCAAAACACTTCTAGTATTAAACAATGAAATAAATGTGAGCTCTACATACATTTTACAAAGTTTTATAAAAACAAATAAGATAATTATTTACTTATTTTTTGGTGAATCCACGAGTGATGGTGGTTATAGCAGTGAATGTTAAAATCAAAGGATAAATGTTTACAAAGTGAAAATTGTAAGGAGCTCCTCCTCCCACTATGCAGTTCAAAAACAAACACAAATATGGTAGGCTGGCTGAGAGTTTTCATATCACGTTGTTTATTGTCTTGCATTTGTATGGCTATCATATACTTAACAAAATTTTATTTTACAATAATTTATATTAATTCATTTATTCATTGTACAATCCACTAGTTCAGGGTCATTGTACAATCCACTAGAATACTAGTTCAGGGTCAAAGGTGACTGAAACTTAATCCAAAAAAATCAAGGAGGGACTCCCTTCCTAACACATTCTATGAATCTAGTATCACAATTATACCCAAATCAGGCAAAGCCATAAACACACACACACACACACACACACACACACACACACACACACACACAACTGGTCAATATCCCTGATGAACATAGATGCAAAAATTCTCAACTAGCAAAATGAATTCTATAGTACATCAAAAAGATAATATAGTTAGGTGGGTTTTACTCCAGAAATACAAGGATGGTTTAACATGTGAATCATTCTTCCATAAAGACATACACACACACATGTTCATTGCGGCACTATTCACAATAAAAAGACATGGAATCAACTTAAATGACTAAATAAAGAAAATGTGGTACATATACACCATGGAATACTATGCAGTCATAAAAAAGAATGGCATCATGTTCTTTGTAGCAACATGGATAGAGCTGAACACCATTATCCTAAGTGAAATAACTCAGAAACAGAAAACTCAAATATCACGTTTTCACTTATACGTGGGAGCTAAACAATGGGTACATATGGACATAAAGATAGAAATAATAGACACTGGGGAGTCCAAAAGGAGAGAGGGTTGGAGGGTTAAGGTTGAAAAATTACCTATTGGGTATAGTATTCACTGTTTGGTGATGGGTTCACTAGAGCCCAAATCTCACCATTGTGCAATATATCCATGTACCAAACCTGCACATGTACTCCGTGAATCTAAAATTTTTAAAGATTCTATTAAACAATAAAGCAACAGGAATAATGTACTAAGGATATTAAATTTATTTTTAAAATAAATTTTGGATAAAACTTGTGTGTGTATATATGTAGACAGAGAGAGAAATAAATGCCCCTATAAAGGAGCTGTACACATACACACACACACAGTAAATACACATATGAAGAAACTATATAAAACATACTATATTGAAATATTTCTGAATTATAACTAATTCAACAAGAAAATGTTCAAAATTTGCATATAGTCAATAATAAAGAAAAGAGAGCTAATTATATACTTACCAAGAAAAGGTGGAAGTGGAGGCACTAAAGGTATTCTAAAGAGTTGTAAAATTTTTCCCCCAATAATGGCACTATAAAAAATAATTAACAATCCAGATAAATTTCCACCAGGGAGAGCTTCAGAGCCTAAGATTGCTAAGGTCATACACCATATCACAAACAGTGTAACTCCTGAAATACAAAAAAGTGTACAGCTATATATCTACATACACATAGATGTATACAAAAAAAGGATCAATTCTCTTTTATCATATATACTAATAGCCAGTTCTATAAAATGATACAGGGTATAGATCAACATTGCTTACTAGTTTGGTGAAAGAGATACCTGCTTAACATATACTCCAAATAACCTGTCAATTTATGAATTAGGTTTTAAACAAAGTGTTTTCACTTTAAAAATATTTAAAAACTATATGTGGGCCAGGTGCAGTGGCTCACACCTTAATCCCAGCACTTTGGGAGGCTGAGGTGAGCTGGATCACATGAGGTCAGGAGTTTGAGACCAGCCTGGCCAACACAGTGAAATCCCGTCTCTACTAAAAATGCAAAACTTAGCCAGGTGTGGTGATGCGTGTCTGTAATCCCAGCTACATGGTAGGCTGAGTCAGGAGAATTGCTTGAACCCAGGAGGTGGAGGTTGCAGTGAGCCAAGATTGTGCCACTGCACTCCAGCCTGGGTGACAGAGTGAGACTCACTCTCAATAAAAAAATAAAAAATAAATTAAAAAAACCTATATGTGAACTCTTGAAAATGTTAACTTATAATATATGATAGTTAAAAACTTCATGGCAATATGATGAGATTTACTTCATTTTATATTTTAAAATAGCTTTTTTATCAGGATGGAAAATAAGAGGATGATTGGTTGTGATAAGAATTCACGACCTTATTGAAGATCACAGTGTCAAGGTGCCAAATCTTTTAACAGGAACCTGCTAAATCTTTTTATTGAAAGGATAATTCAACTGATATTTGGCATAAATGTATTATAGGAGGTATTGGCTGGAAGAAATGAACCTAGATTTTGTGGGAATAAATATAAAATATCTTAGATTATGTGTAGAAGGTAGAGGGAGATTAAGATGAGTAGATATAAGTTACTAGACATCTTGTTTCTGGCAACTAGGTGCTACTCACTGAGGAATCCATAGGTTTCTGTAAAGGACAGAAAATAACTTGGTAAATTTCCATTTGCTAATTAAATGGCTACCTTTATTTGCTATGAATCATAATTGCTAATGTTTTTAATATTCTTAAAACAGCTTACATGAATTTTTTAGCTATGACCCTTTTCTGACTGTATAGAATTTGCCAGGGTAGAAAAGGAGGATTTTGACTCACTCCAGGCAGAAAGTTAGAACAAAGTTTCTTTCTTCCTCCCCTCTGATTATTGTCATCTTGCAAAACTGGAAGCCTTGGAGGGTTAAACTGTCACTAAAATAATGGACCAGGCTGGGCATGGTGGCTCGCGCCTGTAATCCCAGCACTTTGGGAGGCCGAGGTGGGTGGATCACCTGAGGTCAGGAGTTCAAGATGAGCCTGACCAACACGGTGAAACGCCGTCTCTATTAAAAATACAGACAATTAGCCTGGCCTGGTGGTGCATGCCTGTAATCCCAGCTACTTGGGAGGCTGAGGTACGAGAATTGCTTGAACCCAGGAGGCAGACATTGCAGTGAGCTGAGATGGTGCCACTTCACTCCAGCCTGGGTAACAAAAGCAAAACTCCATCTCAAGAAAACAAAACAAAACAAAACAAAAAACAAAAAAATAAAAAACACGGACCAGAAAATGTCATCCTACTGACAAATTGAGAAGACAAGGCAGTTTGTATTAGCTGGTCTCTTTGTGGCAAAGTCTTTTTTGAGAATTCATATGTAAAACTGGCCTCATCCAACTTATGTGTAGGGCTCAAATTACATTACGTGCACAGGTTAGGGATCCCAAAGTTCTAAACCTACCATAAAAGTGTCCCTGCATAGAAGTATCCCTAGAACACTTAGTAGATGCTAATTCAAAAAATCTCTAATAGACACTCCTGATCCCAGACTGCATAAAGTCTCAAAGGTAAAGCAAAGTGAATCTGAACTTAAAATAAGAAGAAATATCCCATGAGCAAAAGTTAACAGATACAACAAAGAATGGGATTACATGTCTAAAAACCTCAGCTAATAGAACCACTAGATAGACACTATAAAATATGTATTTTCAAAGGGACTAGAGACAATTTTTAAAAATTGGAAACATGAGAAGAAGAAATTACTTGAAAGTATTGTAAAATAATTAAATAGAACATCTAGAAAAAAACTTTAAAATTTACTCAACTGAAAAAAAACCCACTAACTACCCAAATAGCAATTTAGACAAAGCTGAAGAGACAACACAGCAAAGTAGTAGATATGAGGAAATTATTTAAGAGCATAGCACACACACACAAAAAAACGAGGTGGAAAATGAGAGATTTAGATTATGGAAAAGATCTAAAACACAACTAATGGTAGTTTTAGAAACATAATTGAAAGAATGAAGAAGATATAATATTTGAGAAGAAAACTGACTTCAAATTTTACAGAATTGATTAGGGTTTTCATTGATTTGGACACAGGAAGTCAAATGAGTTCTAATCAGGATTAAGTAAAAATAGATACTTAGATAAAATGTTGAGAAACTATAGACTACCAAAGGCAAAAATAAAATCTTAAATAATCTAGACAGAGAAAGAGAGATTAATCATAATTGAATAAACAATAGAACAGATTCTCAATTCTTATCAGCAACAATAGAAGATGGAAGATAGTTAAATAAAGTCTTCAAAGTAAATAAAACATTCAATGTTGAATTCTGTAGCCAGTTAACTGTCACTCGAACAAAAGACAAATGAAAGATATTGTCAAATAAACACAGTTAAGAACATATGCCATTTTTTACCAGGGAAAAATCTACTGAAAGATATGCTTTAGAAATATGACATAGAACCAAAAAAGATGGAACAATGTGCAAAGAAATTGGTAAAATGTAGGTTAGTCTAAACAAGTATTTGTTGTGTAACACATTACTAATGAAATTTGTTAATCAGAGGATATAAAGATAAGGTTGGGAGGTGACATGAAAAGGTTGGCAATTTATTTCCCCACCAAAACTTCCCCCAGAAATTGCAGAAATACCAAAAACAATCATTTCAGGACCCCGAAAACTCATCAAAGGCAGTTATCATATTTAAGAAGCATTTTTTCTTGAAAAAAGTGTTAAGGTTTTGGGTAGGATTGGTAAAATCTGAGCCCTTCCTGACTGGGGTTGTTCCTTGATATGGTTTGGCTTTGTGTCCCCATCCAAATCTCATCTTGAATTGTGCTCCCATAATTCCTATGTGTTGTGGGAGGAGCCTGGTGGGAGATAATTGAATTATGGGGGTAGCTTCCCCGCATACTGTTCTCGTGGTAGTGGATAAGTCTCACAAGATCTGATGGCTTTATCAGGGGTTTCTGCTTTTGCATCTTCCTCATTTTCTCTTGCCGCCACCATGTAAGAAGTGCTTTTCACCTCCCGCCATGATTCTGAGGTCTCCTCAGCCACCTGGAACTATAAGTCCAATTAAACCTCTTTTTCTTCCCAGTCTTGGGTATGTCTTTATCAGCAGAATGACAACGGACTAATACACTCCCATCTCTCTTCTCACCCCCAAGCTCAGTTGGGAAAAACTGTAGTTTTACAAGTTTGAAGCTGAATGTAAAACCCAGCAGCTTTCCTGTTAGGGCTGGGGACAGGGGTGGATTTGATATGGAGTAGAGGGAAGAAATCAATGGTTTTGCCAGTTAAATATAGCAGAGTGGTTTGGGAATGAACAGAGAGAATTGCAGATTTGCTAGTCTGAGGTTGCAGTTTCAATTGGGGAAGTGGAAGACAAGATAAAAATTTAAATGAGAGATCCTGAGGTTCAATAGGTACAGCAAACCACCATGGCACATGTATACCTGTGTAACAAACCTGAATGTTCTGCACATGTATCCTGGAAATCAAAGTAAAATTAAAAAAGAAAGAAAGAAAGAAAGAGAAAGAAAGAAAGAGAGAAAGAAACAAAGAATGAAAGAGGAAGAAAGAAATAAAGAGAGAGAGAAAGAGAGAAAGAAGAAAGAAAGAAGGAAGGAAAGAAAGAAAGAAAGAAGAAAGAAAGAAAGAAAGAAAGAAAGAAAGAAAGAAAGAAAGAAGGAAAGAAAGAAAAGAAAGACCCACATGCAAGGCTAGAGTTTTCGAGTTCCAAGTTCCAATTCTCTCATTGAGAAGAGTGGCTCACTGTGCCTAAACTGTTTATACAAACAATGTGGTTTACTCTGAACAGCTGCTTTTCCTCTGGGAGTCTGGAATTCTGGTACATGTGAAGGAGAGTAACCTCCATAAAATCCTGAGTACTGAGTCTCTAATGAGACTCTGGTCCTGGTAGATGACATTGCACATGTGCTGTCAAAATTTCATGCTGGGAAAGAGAAACACATCCTTGTAACTCCACAGGAGATGATTCCAGGAAGCTTGTGCCTGGTATCCTCCAGACTTTACCACATACAACTTTTTCCCTTTGCTAATTTTGCTTTGTATCCATTCACTATAATAAATTAAAAACCTGAGTATTACTAAAAAAAAAAAAGAGAGAGAGAGAAATCCTGGAAAGCAGAGAACCATAGAAAGTTTGAGAAAAGTTCTCCACACATATGGCCGATTGGAAAAGTATGGAAGTGCAGGAAAGACTCAAGAGAGCATGACAAAAAGTAAAAATGAAGTAAGACTTGAGTATTAATTGCAACTTTGAATGCATTCACCTACCCACCCACAGATTATTTGGCAGAGAGCGGAAGCCTTACTAGCTTTAATATAATGTCTCTCAAAAATCATGCTATGCAACAGACACAAAGGAAATCCCTAGAAAAACAGGCTAAAACAACAGTAACAACAACAACACAATATAAAAGACATCAATGTTGAAAACCACTAGGCAGAAGGATTACACAGCACAAGTATAGGCCAATTACAAAAACAGAACAACAACAAAGACAGTAACAAATAAAAACCAAATCCAGATTTGCTATAATGTGTAATTAAAGTGTTTAGTTTTAAATTAAAAATTATCAGACATGTAAGGAAACAGGAAAATATGACTCATACTCTGGAAAAAAAGCAGTGAATAGAAACTGTCTCAATTCAGATATTGGATTTAGAAAGAAAGTTTTCAAAGTATATATTATAAATATGTTCAAATTAAAAATATGATAATGTGTTGTCTAATAGAGAATATGAATAAGGAGACAGAATACGTTTAAAAATAGAATCTAGAATTTAAAAGTACAACAGTTAAAGTGAAAAAATCACCAGCGAGGTTCAGTAGCATATTTGACCTTGTGAAAGAAAGTATCAGTGAACTTGAAGGTAGACCAATAGAGGTTAATCAATCTGAAGAACAAAAAGAAAAAAGAATGAAGGATAATAAACAGATCCTCAGAAACTTATGGGATACGATCAGGAGCACTAACATACGCATAATGGGAATTCCAGGAGAAGAGAGAGATAAGAGGGCAGAAAAATATTTGAAAACATAATGTCTGAAAACTTCAAAAATGCTATGAAAAACATTAATCTTCAGATATAAGACATCCAACAAATCTCAACTAGGATAAACACAAAGAGATTCACACCTAGAGCCATCCTTGTCAAATTGGTGAAAACCAAGGATAATAAGAAAATCATGAAAGTAGCAAGAGACGGCTTATCACATACAGGGGAACAATAATGTTATCAATACTGGCATTTTTTTTTTTTTTTTACTTTTTTTACTTTTTTTTTTATTATACTCTAAGTTTTAGGGTACATGTGCACATTGTGCAGGTTAGTTACATATGTATACATGTGCCATGCTGGTGCGCTGCACCCACTAACGTGTCATCTAGCATTAGGTATATCTCCCAATGCTATCCCTCCCCCCTCCCCCGACCCCACCACAGTCCCCAGAGTGTGATATTCCCCTTCCTGTGTCCATGTGATCTCATTGTTCAATTCCCACCTATGAGTGAGAATATGCGGTGTTTGGTTTTTTGTTCTTGCGATAGTTTACTGAGAATGATGGTTTCCAATTTCATCCATGTCCCTACAAAGGACATGAACTCATCATTTTTTATGGCTGCATAGTATTCCATGGTGTATATGTGCCACATTTTCTTAATCCAGTCTATCATTGTTGGACATTTGGGTTGGTTCCAAGTTTTTGCTATTGTGAATAGTGCCGCAATAAACATACTGTGCATGTGTCTTTATAGCAGCATGATTTATAGTCCTTTGGGTATATACCCAGTAATGGGATGGCTGGGTCAAATGGTATTTCTAGTTCTAGATCCCTGAGGAATCGCCACACTGACTTCCACAATGGTTGAACTAGTTTACAGTCCCACCAACAGTGTAAAAATGTTCCTATTTCTCCACATCCTCTCCAGCACCTGTTGTTTCCTGACTTTTTAATGATTGCCATTCTAACTGGTGTGATATGATATCTCATTGTGGTTTTGATTTGCATTTCTCTGATGGCCAGTGATGATGAGCATTTCTTCATGTGTTTTTTGGCTGCATAAATGTCTTCTTTTGAGAAATGTCTGTTCATGTCCTTCGCCCACTTTTTGATGGGGTTGTTTGTTTTTTTCTTGTAAATTTGTTTGAGTTCATTGTAGATTCTGGATATTATCCCTTTGTCAGATGAGTAGGTTGCGAAAATTTTCTCCCATGTTGTAGGTTGCCTGTTCATTCTGATGGTAGTTTCTTTTGCTGTGCAGAAGCTCTTGAGTTTAATTAGGTCCCATTTGTCAATTTTGGCTTTTGTTGCCATTGCTTTTGGTGTTTTGGACATGAAGTCCTTGCCCACGCCTATGTCCTGAATGGTAATGCCTAGGTTTTCTTCTAGGGATTTTATGGTTTTAGGTCTAACGTTTAAATCTTTAATCCATCTTGAATTGATTTTTGTATAAGGTGTAAGGAAGGGATCCAGTTTCAGCTTTCTACATATGGCTAGCCAATTTTCCCAGCACCATTTATTAAATACGGAATCCTTTCCCCATTGCTTGTTTTTCCCAGGTTTGTCAAAGATCAGATAGTTGTAGATATGCGGCATTATTTCTGAGGGCTCTGTTCTGTTCCATTGATCTATATCTCTGTTTTGGTACCAGTACCATGCTGATTTGGTTACTGTAGCCTTGTAGTATAGTTTGAAGTCAGGTAGTGTGATGCCTCCAGCTTTGTTCTTCTGGCTTAGGATTGACTTGGCGATGCGGGCTCTTTTTTGGTTCCATATGAACTTTAAAGTAGTTTTTTCCAATTCTGTGAAGAAAGTCATTGGTAGCTTGATGGGGATGGCATTGAATCTGTAAATTACCTTGGGCAGTATGGCCATTTTCACGATATTGATTCTTCCTACCCATGAGCATGGAATGTTCTTCCATTTGTTTGTGTCCTCTTTTATTTCCTTGAGCAGTGGTTTGTAGTTCTCCTTGAAGAGGTCCTTCACTTCCCTTGTAAGTTGGATTCCTAGGTATTTTATTCTCTTTGAAGCAATTGTGAATGGGAGTTCACTCATGATTTGGCTCTCTGTTTGTCTGTTGTTGGTGTATAAGAATGTTTGTGTACCATTCCTTCTGAAACTATTCCAATCAATAGAAAAAGAGGGAATCCTCCCTAACTCATTTTATGAGGCCAGCATCATTCTGATACCAAAACCGGGCAGAGACACAACCAAAAAAGAGAATTTTAGACCAATATCCTTGATGAACATTGATGCAAAAATCCTCAATAAAATACTGGCAAACAGAATCCAGCAGCACATCAAAAAGCTTATCCACCATGATCACGTGGGCTTCATCCCTGGGATGCAAGGCTGGTTCAATATACGCAAATAAATAAATGTAATCCAGCATATAAACAGAACCAAAGACAAAAACCACATGATTATCTCAATAGATGCAGAAAAAGCCTTTGACAAAATTCAACAACCCTTCATGCTAAAAACTCTCAATTAATTAGGTACTGATGGGACGTATTTCAAAATAATAAGAGCTATCTATGACAAACCCACAGCCAATATCATACTGAATGGGCAAAAACTGGAAGCATTCCCTTTGAAAACTGGCACAAGACAGGGATGCCCTCTCTCACCGCTCCTATTCAACATAGTGTTGGAAGTTCTGGCCAGGACAATCAGGCAGGAGAAGGAAATAAAGGATATTCAATTAGGAAAAGAGGAAGTCAAATTGTCCCTGTTTGCAGACGACATGATTGTTTATCTAGAAAACCCCATCGTCTCAGCCCAAAATCTCCTTAAGCTGATAAGCAACTTCAGCAAAGTCTCAGGATACAAAATCAATGTACAATACTGGCATTTTTATCTGAAAAAATGGAGGCCTTATGAAGTGACATTTCAAAATTGGAGGGAAAAATAACTGTCAATTAAGAATTCTGTATCCAGTTAATGATCCTTCAAATATGAAGCTGAAATAAAGACATTTCCATATAAATAAAAATAAAAAGAACTTATCCTTGCTAAAGAAACACTAAAGAAAATGCTTTTAAGATAAAAGGATATGACACCAGATGACAACTTGAACCTATAAGGAATAAACGGCACGGGAAATGGTAAATAAATTTGTAAGTATAAAAGATTGTGTGTGTGTGTGTGTGTGTGTGTGTGTCTGTGTGTATTCTGATTTCATCTCTTTTTTTAAAAAAGCATCTGATTATTATAGGCAATAACTATAACAATACTACTGAGTTCATAGCATATAAGAGATACATTGGATCAAAGTTGCTATATAACACTGGAATTAAGTAAAAATTATTAAACCAAAGTAGATTGTAAAAAGTGAAGGTGATTGATTATTATAATCCCCAAAGGTACTTGGGAGGCTGAGATAGAAGTATTGCTTGAGGCTAGGAGTTTGAGACTAGCCCGAGCAACACAATGAAGCTCTGTTGATATAGTTTGGATATGTGTCCCTGCCCAAATCTCGTGTTGAATTGTAATCCCCAAAGTTGGTGATAGGTCCTGCTGGGAGGTGAATGGATCATGGGGGCACATTTCTCATGAATCGTTATTGCTGGCTAATTTGGTATTTTTAGTAGAGACAGGGTTTCTCCATGTTGATCAGGCTGGTCTTGAACTCCTGACCTCAGGTGATCCACCCGCCTCAGCCTCCCAAAGTGCTGGGATTACAGGCATGAGCCATGGTGACTGGCCTAAGCTTTACTTTCTAAAAATTATATTAAAATTGATATTTCTCTATTATCTAATCATAAATTATATCAAATATTCTGTTTTGAATTTTATTTTTCCCTTTAAACATAAAGACACACATTCAGTTCATTGTGCTAGATAAATTACCAGTGCAATCACAAATTAAGAAATGCAATTCAAAGAATTTTGCATACAAGGAGTCCTGAAAGTGTTAATAACTTTTGATGCAAAGATAATTTTATGAAAGTAATAGAAGACTAAAAAGGTACAAAACAATTATTATGTAAGTAGCTTCCTTTTTCTGAATCACCCATGATTACTTTTTCCACCAAACAAAAACTGACAATATATGTCAGACCTGTCTCAAATCTCCCCAGCCTCTTTTCCTAAACCTCCCCAGCTTCTCAGGACAGACAGGCTGCTACTGTACTTTGTGCATTCTGCTATTTTTAGCAAGAGGCCTATTTTGTCAGTGTTGTCTGAATAATATTTGCCAACTCTCAGACTTTCAGTCACTTATTTGTTTAGTTATTTATTTATTTGTCTCCTTTTCTTGTATTTCCCTTTTCCTTTTCTTTCCTTTCTTTTTCCCTTTCCTCCTCCCTTCCTTTGCTTACTTATTTTTTTCCCTTTAATTCTCATTCACTATTTCCATGACTGTCAAATAGTAGGTTGATCCTTTAAAATATTCCTTTTTAAAAATTTATTGTACTTTAAGTTCTGGGATACATGTGCAGAACGTGCAGGTTTGTTACATAAGTATACACGTGCCATGTGGTTTGCTACACCCATCTACAATATATCTTAAAATAAATAAAAGTGGAAACACACAGGAGACAGGTTGTATGGGGTGAGTGGGTTGCCAAGTGGATGGTGGCAGTGTAATCCAGGGTGGCCAGTGGGGCTAAGTGTTGTGTATTCCAAGCATGGCGGGGTTCCTGCCTTCCTGTGTGGCAGACTGTGGCATCAGGTAAGAGCCACTCAGTGCCCACCCTGGCTCCTCCATTGCCTTGCTCTCAGCCCCTGACATCCAGCCCACACCTGGAGATTGAACTGCACCCACTGCTCTGGGTCTCAGCTCTGTGATCACCTCAGTAGATATTCCGAGCTTGGCTATGCAGGCAACACTGAGCCATAGTTTACTATTCTTTCATGCATTACTATCAGAGAGTCAGCAAAGGTAGTTGACAAAGCCCAAGGGAGAATGTTGAGGGGAGTTGATGAGCTTGACTTTTTCATACAGGATGAAGCCATTGATAAATCTATGTATGCCACAAAGTGGTCAATATGACATGGAATCACTGAAGACTGGGATATTATGGAAATGTTCATGGAGCAAGTGGTTTTTAAATATCTTTGAGCAGAATCTGAGGACCATTATTTTTTAATGACAGAACTTCCACTGAATACACTAGAAAATACAGAATATTTTTTCAGAAATTATGTTTGAATTATTTAATGTACCAGGATTCTACATTGCAGTTCAGGAGGTACTAGCCTTGGAAGTATCTTGGACATCTCAACAAGTGGGTGAATATATGTTAATGAGTATAGTCATTGACAAAGGAGATGGAGTCACCCTTATTCTCCCAGTTGTAGAAGGTTATGTAATTGGGAGCTGCATCAATCACATCCTGATTGTAGGTGATACTGTGTATTTCATTCAACAACTGCTAAGGGAGAGGGAGGTAGGAATCCCTCTTGAACGTCACTGGAGACCACAAAAGCCATTAAGGAGAAATACTGTTACATTTGCCCTGATATAGTCAAGGAATTTGCTAAGTATGATGTGGATCCCTGGAAGTGGGTCAAACAGTACACAGGTATCAATGTGATCAACCAGGAGAAGTTCATAATAGACGTTGGTTACAAAAGATTCCTACAACCTGAAATATTTTTTTTACCCAGAGTTTGCCAACCCAGACTTTATGGAATCCATCTTGAATGTTGTTGATGAATACAAAACTGTCCTATTGATGTGCGTTGTCCACTGTATAAGAATGTTGTTCTTTCAAGGGGTTTGACCATATTCAGGGATTTGAATCTCAACTACAGAGAGATTTGAAGAGTGGTACATGCCAGATTAAAACTCAGTAAGGAGCTCAGTGGCAGGAGAATCAAACCTAAGCTTACAGAGGTTCGGGTGGTAATCCATCACATGCAGCACTATGCCTTATGGTTTGGAAGCTTAATGCTAGCCTCAACTCTGGAGTTATTTCAGGTCTGTCACACCAAGAAGGACTATAAAGAATATGGCCCCAGCATCTGCCACCAGAGCCTTCTCTTTGGAGTAATGTCTTAGTGTCTGCCTTGAAAGCATCATTTAATAGTGTCATGTTGGGGAACAAGTGTCCTTCAGAACCCAGAGAAGACTACCATTTCTAAATGACATTTAGTGTTGATGTCTGAGCAGCATGCTTGCATCACCTAGTGCATGAGGCACAGGGCAGAGTCATTTCAGTAAAAGCCGTTTCTTTATGTGTTGACTATTGTATGCCCACTCCTCATTCTTTCACTCCCTTTCTTCATGCTTCCGCAGTTTCCCTCCTCCTTTTCACTTGAACTTTTTTGTTGACAAATATCATTCGGAAAGAATTCAAATGTGACTCTGAAAATTGTTAAGAGGAAAAAAAATTTCAAAAATGGCCCAAAATAGTTCTCCCCCAGGAAAGAATGCAGTGGTATAAATCATTTTCCCCCAGCCTATTTTTCTAAATAAAATGTTATAAACTTAAAATACAAAAAACCAATAACATAGCAATATTTACAGGATACAATTAAAGCAGTGTATAGAGGAAAATGTATAGCTTTAAAAACAGAAAAAATAATCTAAAATTGATAATTAAAACTTCCATCTTAAGACTCTAGAAAAAGAGGAGTAAACCAAGCTGAAAGTAAGTAGGATGTATGAAATAAAAATGTCACAGTGGAAAACGATAAATACAGAACAGGATAACATTAAAAACAACCAAAGAAACCCAAAATTGCTTATTTCAGAAAGTCAAGACGATAAATAATATTTAGTGAAATTGACCAAGAAAAAAGAAAGAAGACACTAATTCCCAAAATCAAGAATCAAAGAGAAATATCACCACAGACCCTACCCTTAAAAGGATGTAAAGAAAATAGCATAATAACTTTAAGGCAAAAAATTTGACAACTTAAATAAAATAGAACAATTCCTAGAAAGACACAAATTACCAAAACTGACTCAAGGCAAAAGAAAAAAAAAAAACAAATACCAATATCAAGTAAAGAAATTGCATCAGTAATTTCAAATCTTCCTATAGAGAAAAAAATATACTTCACTGGTGAATTCTATCAAACTATTAAGGGAGGAAATAATACCAGTGTTACAAAAACTTTATTCAGCAAATAGAGGATGAAGGAAACTTCCCAACTAACTTTATTTCATTTGATATCAATATTACCCTGATATCAAAACAAGACAAAGACATTACAAGAAAACATAGCTATATATCAATATCCCTTGTGAAACTAGACATAAAAATTCTTAACCAAATATTAGCAAATGTAATTGAGCAACATATGAAAAGGATTTTATACCACAATCAAATGAAGTTTATCTCAAGAATGTGAGGTTGACCTAACATCCAAAAATCAATGTAATAAACTATATTAACAGAATAAAGGACAAAACCATATGATCACCTCAATAGATGCAGAAAAGCATTTGACAGAATTCAACACTCATATATTTAAAAAAATCTCATCAACTTATGAATAGAAGGGAACTACTTCAAATGATCAAGGCATCTACCAGAAGCCTATAGCCAACATACTTAATGGTAAGAATGTGCTTCCCTCTAGATTAGGAAACATGCAAAGATATCTGTGTTTACCACTTCTATTTAACAATGCACCACAGGTCTTAATTTGTGCAATAGTCAAGGAAAAAGGTATGGAAAAAAGATAACTCTTTTTATTGTTAGCCTTTATGCAGAAAATCCTAAGGAACACACCCACACACACACCCACATACCACACCCCCTCCCAGATTTACTAGAACTAAGAGGGGGGGTTAGTAAGTTTGTAGAGTATATGATCAATATACAAAAATCGGTTATATATATAGTAGCAACAAACAAAACAAAGATGAAATAAAGAAAACAATTCCAATCACAATAGCATCAAAAATAAATGTCTTAGTTTGTTTTATGTTGTTATAATAGAACACCTGAGACTGTATAAAGAGTTTTATTTAGCTCATGTTTCTCCAGACTGGGAAGTTCAAGAAGCATGGCACCAGTATCTGCTTAACTTCTGGTGAGGGCTTTAGCAGTACATCACAACATGGCAGAAGAGGACGTGGGAATGTGCCAAGAGGCCAAACACAAGGTACAACCTTGTACAATGGGTTGCTTTATAACAATCCATTCTCAGGGCAACTAATCTATTCCCACAGGAACCAATCCAGTTTCATGAGAGCAAGAACTCACTCACTATATGAGGACTGCACCAAGCTGCTCAAAATGTCAGAGTCCCCATGACCCAAGCATCTCCCATTAGGCCCTACCTCTTAGAGGTTCCAACATGATTTTTGACAGAAACACGGAAACCATGGCATTCCATACTTGGAAACCCAAACTCATGTCCCTCTTACACTACAAAATATAATTATTCAATCTCAATGGTCCTCAAAGTCTTAATGTATTCCAGTAACAATTCAAAGGTTAAAGTCCAAAGTCTTAATGTATTCCAGTAACAATTCAAAGGTTAAAGTCCAAAGTCTCATATAAGACTCAAGGCAAGTTCCTTCTAGCTATGAGCCTGTAAAATAAAATAAAAAAAAAAACAAACAAGTTATTTACTTACAAGATACAACGGTGGAATAGTCATATGGCAGACAGTTCCATTCCAAAAGGGAGAAATAGGCCAAAAGAAGAAAGAGGTGACAGGCCTCAAGCAAGTTCAAAACTCAGCAGGGCAGACATTAAATCTTAAAGCTCCAGAATAATTCTCCACTCCATGTGCTACCTCCTGAGCACAGTGGGAAGTTTTTATCCTTTAAGCCTTGGGCAGCCCCACCTCCATTACTTTGTTGGGCATAGCCACATGGCTACTCTCCCTGGTTGGATTTGGATACCAGTGGCCTTTCCAGGCTGAGGTTGCATGGTGGCAATGGCTCTATAGTTCTGGAGTCCCAGTGGTGGTCCACTTCATGGATTCACTAGGCATTGCCCTTGTACAGACACTTTGTGGCAGCTCCAACCCTACATTTCTGCTCAGCATTGCCCTAGGGGAGGTACACTGCAGTGGCTCTGGCCCTGCAACAAGTCTCCACCTGAGCTCCCAGTCTTTTCAGTACATTCCTTAAAATCTAAGTGGCAGCCACCATGCCTCCACTTCTCTTGTATTCTGCGCATCTGCAAAACAAGTACCACATGGTTGTAAAAGCCATCAAGGGTTACCGCTTGCACCCTCCAGAGTGCTGTCATGAGCTGTATCTGAGGCTGCTTGATCAATGACTGCGTGCCACCAAGGTTTATGGTTTGTATCTTGAGGAATGGCAGCCTGAGCCACACCTGAGTATGATTGTGCCATGGCTGGGGTGGCTGCTGAGGGCTGTGCCAGAATTTGGGGAGCAGGATCTCAAAACAGCACAGGGCAGTGATGCATGGGTTCTGTCTCTTAAAACCATTCTGTCCTCCTAGACCTCTGGAGAGGCAACCTCAAAAATTTCTGAAACGTCTTCAGGGCCTTTAAAAAATTGTCTCAATAATTGTCAACTGGCTTTCTTCTCTCAGTGCTAATCTCTTTAGTATTGGTTGTTCTGCTGCACCCTTGGATTCCTCACCTGAAAATGCTCTTTCATTCTCTTCCACATGGCCAGGCTATTAATTTTCAAATTTTTGTGTTTGCTTCCCTTGTCGTTTTGCATTTCACTGAATGTAGTAAGGAGTAAGTACATAGCTGCTCTATATTTTGCTTAGAAATTTCTTCTGCCAGGTACCGTAGTTCATCACACTTAAGTTTGGCCTTCCACAAAACCTTAGGGTACAAAGCCTTAGAAACAACAAAGTCAAATTTTTGCTATTGTCTAACAAGGATTATTTGGTCTCCAGTTCCTAATACCTTGTTCCTCATTTCTATCTGAGATCTCATTAGAATGGCCTTTGCTGTCCATATTTTTATCAGCATTGTGGTAATGACTACTTAACCAATCTCTAAGAAATTCTAAACTTTCTCTAATCTTTTTGTTATCTTTTGAGCCCTCAGTGAAATTATCCTTAATGCTCTGTTTATGGCAATACAGTCTTTTTCTAGTCTGCTCCATCAAACTTTTCCAACTTCTGCCCATTACCCAATTCCAATGATGCTTCTGCATTTTTGAGGATCTAAATAGCAACATCCCACTCTCAGTACCAATTTTCTGTCTTAGTCTGTTTTGTGTTGCTATAACAGAATATTGGAGACTGAGTAATTTATAAAGAGATATATTTGGCTTGCAGTTCTGCAGGCTGGAAAGAAAGACACTGGCATCTGCTTGGGTTCTGGTGAAAGCTTTAGTGTTGTGTCACAACATGGTAGAAGAAGGTCAAAGAGGAGTAGGCATGTACCAGGAGGCCAAACATGAAGTGTGACCTCACCGTATAGCAACTCATTCTCATGGTAACTAATCCATTCCTGAGAGAACTAATCTCACGACAGTGAGAACTCACTCACCAGTGTAAGAATAGTACCAAGCTGCCCACAAAGGAAGAGCTCCCAAGACCCAAACACTTCCCATTAGGCCCCACCTCTTAAGCATTCCAACATGAGTTTTGGTAGAGACACTCAAACTATAGCAATAATAATTAGGAATAAATTTAACAAAATAAGTGTGAAACCTTTGCACTGAAAACTAAAAAACATCACTCAGATAAATGCCTAAATAAATAGAGAGATATATCATATTAATGGATTAGATGACTCAATATTGTTAGTTGTCAATTGATCTACAAATTAACTTCAATTCCTGCCAAAAGTCTAGAAAGATTATTGGAAAAATTGACAAGCTGATTCTAAAATTATATAGAAATAGAAAAATACCTAGAATAGCCAAAACAATCTTGCTAAGTAAGAATGAAGTTAGAGTACTTAATACTGCCTTATTTTAAAATTCAGTGTAAAGCAACAGTAGTCAAGACAGTGTAGAATCCACATTAAGAGAGATAGATAGATCAATGGAACTAAGTGGATTTCAGAATCCAACCACATAAATAGTCAATTAATTTTCATCAAAGATGCTAAGACAATTCAATAGGAAAAAGATGTTCTTTCAACAAATGATTCTATAAGAACTGGTTATTCATTTACAAAAACTAAACCTAGATCCTTAGGTCATATACGAAAATTAACTAAAATGGATCATAGACCTAATTGTATAAGCTAAAACTGTAAAACTCCTAGGAAAAAAAAATAGGATAAAATATTTATGACCTTGGACTAAGAAAAGTTTTCTTAGATATAATATCAAAAACATGTTCCATAAAAGAAAAACAGATAAATTAGACTTCACCAAAATGATGAAATCTTTGCTTTTCAAATATTTTTTAAATAAATGAAAAGAGAGGATCATTCCAAGATGGGCAAATAGGAACAGCTCCTGTCTGCAGCTCTCAGCATAATTGACGTAGAAGACAGGTGATTTCTGTATTTCCTACTGAGGTACCTTGTTCATCGCACTGAGACGGGTCAGACAGTGGGTGCAGGCCACAGAGGGTGAGCCGAAGCAGGGCAGGGCGTCGCCTCATCTGGGAAGCAGCAAAAGTGGTCGGGGGATTTCCCTTTCCTAGCCAAGGGAAGCCGTGACAGATGGTACCTGGAAAATCCGGACAGTCCCACCCTAATACTGTGCTTTTCCAATGGTCCTAGCAAACGGCACACCAGGATATTATATCCCATGCATGGCTCGGTGGGTCCCATGCCCACACAGCCTTGTTTACTGATAGTGCAGCAGTCCGAGATCGAACTGCAAGGTGGCAGCATGGCCTGGGAGAGGGGCGTCCACCATTGCTGAGGATTGAGTAGGTAAACAAAGCAGCTGGGAAACCTGAACTGGGTGGAGCTCACTGCAGCTCAATGAGGCCTGGCAACCTCTATAGACTCCACCTCTGGGGGCAGGGTATAGCTGATTAAAAGGCAGCAGAAACTTCTGCAGACTTAAACATCCCTGTCTGACAGCTCTGAAGAGAGCAGTGGTTCTCCAGCATGGAGTTTGAACTCTGAGAATGGACAGAGCTGCCAGTAGGGGTTTACAGACACCTCATACAGCCAGGTGTCCCTCTGAGATGAAGCTTCCAGAAGAAGGATCAGGCAGCAATATTTGCTGTTCTGCAGCCTCCACTGGTGACACTCAGGCAAACAGGGTCTGGAGTGGACCTCCAACAAACTCCAACAGACCTGCAGCTGAGGGTCCTGATTGTTAGAAGGAAAACTAGCAAACAGAAAGGAACAGCATCAACAAAAAGGACATCCACACCAAAACCACATCTGTAGGTCACCATCATTAAAGACCAAAGATAGATAAAACTACAAAGATGGGGGGAAACCAGAGAAGGCAAGTTGAAAATTCAAAAAACCAGAGCGCCGCTTCTCCTCCGAAGGATTGAAGCTCCTTGCCAGCAATGGAACAAAGCTGGATGGAGAATGACTTTGATGAGTTGACAGAAGTAGGCTTTACAAGGTCAGTAATAACAAACTTCTCTGAGCTAAAGGAGGATGTTCGAACCCATTGCAAGGAAGCTAAAAACCTTGAACAAAGATTAGATAAATGGCTAACTAGAATAAAGAGCATAGAGAAGACCTTAAATGACCTGACAGAGCTGAAAACCATGGCATGAGAACTACATGACACATGCACAAGTTTCTGTAGCCGATTCAATCAAGTGGAAGAAAGGGTATCAGTGATGGAAGATCAAATGAATGAAATGAAGTGAGAAGTGAAGTTTAGAGAAAAAGAGTAAAAGGAAATGAACAAAGCCTCCAAGAAATATGGGACTATGTGAAAAGACCAAATCTAAGTTTGATTGGTGTACTTGAAAGTGATGGGGAGAATGGTTTTGACATGAAATCCTTGCCCATGCCTATGTCCTGAATGGTATTGCCTAGGTTTTCTTCTAGGGTTTTTATGATTTTAGGTCTAACATGTAAGTCTTTAATCCATCTTGAATTAATTTTTGTATAATGTGTAAGGACAGGATCCAGTTTCAGCTTTCTACATATGGCTAGCCAGTTTTTCCAGCACCATTTATTAAATAGGGAATCCTTTCCCCATTGCTTGTTTTTACAAGGTTTGTCAAAGATCAGAAAGTTGTAAATATGCGGCACTATTTCTGAGGGCTCTGTTCTGTTCCATTGATCTATATCTCTGTTTTGGTACCAGTACCATGCTGTTTTGGTTACTGTAGCCTTGTAGTATAGTTTGAAGTCAGGTAGCCTGATGCCGCCAGCTTTGTTCTTTTGGCTTAGGATTGACTTGGCGATGTGGGATCTTTTTTGGTTCCATAGAAACTTTAGTTTTTTTCCAATATTGATTCTTCCAACCCATGAGCATGGATTGTCCTTCCATTTGTTTGTATCCTCTTTTATTTCATTGAGCAGTGGTTTGTGACCTCTCCATGAAGAGGTCTTTCACATCCCTTGTAAGTTGGATTCCTCGGTATTGTATTCTCTTTGAAGCAATTGTGAATGGGGGTTCACCCATGATTTGCCTCTCTGTTGGTCTGTTATTGGTGTACAAGAATGCTTGTGATTTTTGTACATTGATTTTTTATCCTGAGAACTTGCTGAAGTTGCTTATCAGCTTAAGGAGATTTTGGGCTGAGACAATGGGGTTTTCTAGATATACAATCATGTCATCTGCAAACAGGGACAATTTGACTTCCTCTTTTCCTAATCGAATACCCTTTATTTCCTTCTCCTGCCTAATTGCCCTGGCCACAACTTTCAACACTGTGTTGAATAGGAGTGATGAGAGAGGGCATCCCTTTCTTGTGCCAGTTTTCAAAGGGAATGCTTCCAGTTTTTGCCCATTCAGTATGATATTGGCCGTGGGTTTGTCATAGACAGCTCTTACTATTTTGAGATATGTCCCATCAATGCCTAATTTATCGAGAGTTTTTATCATGAAGGTTTGCTGAATTTTGTCAAAGGGCTTTTCTGCATCTATTGAGATAATCATGTGGTTTTTGTCTTTGGCTCTGTTTATATGCTGGATTACCTTTATTGATTTGCATATATTGAACAAGCCTTGCATCCTAGGGATTAAGCCTACTTGATCATGGTGGATAAGCTTTTTGATGTGCTGATGGATTTGGTTTGTCAGTATTTTATTGAGGATTTTTGCATCAATGTTCATCAAGGATATTGGTCTAAAATTCTCTTTTTTGGTTCTGTCTCTGCCAGGCTCTGTTATCAGGATGATGCTGGTCTCATAAGATGAGTTAGGGATGATTCCCTCTTTTTCTATTGATTGGAATAGTTTCAGAAGGAATAGTACCAGTTCCTCCTTGTACCTCAGGTAGAATTCGGCTGTGAATCCATCTGGTCCTGGACTGTTATTGGTTGATAAGCTATTGATTACTGCCACAATTTCAGAGCCTGATATTGGTCTATTCAGAGATTCAACTTCTTCCTGGTTTACTCTTGGGAGGGTGTATGTGTCGAGGAATTTATCCATTTCTTGTGGATTTTCTAGTTTATTTGCGTAGAGGTGTTTGTAGTATTCTCTGATGGTAGATTGTATTTCTGAGGCAACAGTGGTGATATCCCCTCTATCATTTTTTATTGCGTCTATTTGATTCTTCTCTATTTTCTTCTTTATTAGTCTTGCTAGCAGTTTATCAATTTTGTTGATCGTTTCAAAAAACCAGCTCCTAGATTCATTGATTTTTTGAAGGATTTTTTATGTCTCTATTTACTTCAGTTCTGCTCTGATCTTAGTTATTTCTTGCCTTCTGCTAGCTTTTGAATGTGTTTGCTCTTGGTTTTCTAGTTCTTTTAATTGTGATGTTAGGGTCATAAAACACCATAAAGATACTCCTCGAGAAGAGCAACACCAAGACACATAATTGTCAGACTCACCAAGGTTGAAGTGAAAGGAAAAATATTAAGGGCAGCCAGAGAGAAAGGTCGGGTTAGCCACAAAGGGAAGCACGTCAGACTAACAGCAGATCTCTTGGCAGAAACCCTACAAACCAGAAGAGAGTGGGGGCCAATATTCAACATTCTTAAAGGAAAGAATTTTCAACTCAGAATTTCATATCCAGCCAAACTAAGCTTCATAAGTGAAGGAGAAATAAACTCCTTTACAGACAAGCAAATGCTGAGAGATTTTGTCACCACCAGACCTGCCTTACAAGAGCTCCTGAAGGAAGCACTAAACATGGAAAGGAATAACCAGTACCAGCCACACAAAAACATGCCTAATTGTAAAGACCATCGATCCTAGGAAGAAACTGCATCAACTAATGAGCAAAATAACCAGCTAACATCATAATGACAGGATCAAATTCACACATAACAATATTAACCTTAAATGTAAATGGGCTAAATGCCCCAATTAAAAGACACAGACTGGCAAACTGGATAAAGAGTCAAGACCCATCAGTGTGCTGTATTCAGGATACCCATCTAACGTGGAGAGACAGACATAGGCTCAAAATAAAGGGATGGAAGAAGATCTACCAAGAAAATGGAAAACAAAAAATAGCATGGGTTGCAATCCTAGTCTCTGATAAAACAGACTTTAAACCAACAAAGATCAAAGAGACAAAGATGGCCTTTATATAATGGTAAAGGGATCAATGCAACAAGAAGATCTAACTATCCTAACTATACATGCACCCAATACAGGAGCACCCAGATTCTTAAAGCAAGTCCTTACAGACCTACAAAGAGACTTAGACATCCACACAGTAATAATGAGAGACTTTAACACCCCACTGTCAATATTAGACATATCAATGAGACAGAAGGTTAACAAGGATTTCCAGGACTTGAACTCAGCTCTGCAACAAGCAGACCTAATAGACATCTACAGAAGGCTCCACCCCAAATCAACAGAATGTACATTCTTCTCAGCACCACATCTCACTTATTCCAAAATTGACCACATAGTTAGAAGTAAAGCACTCCTCAGCATATGTAAAAGAACAGAAATCACAACAAACTGTCTCCCAGACCACAGTGCCATCAAACTGGAACTCAGGTTTAAGAAACTCACTCAAAACCACACAAATACACAGAAACTGAACAACCTGCTCCTGAATGACTATTGGGTAAATAACGAAATGAAGGCAGAAATAAAGATGTTCTTTGAAACCAACGAGAACAAAGACACAACATATCAGAATCTCTGGGACACATTTAAAGCAGTGTGTAGAGGGAAATTTATAGCACTAAATAACCACAAGAGAAAACAGAAAAGATCTAAAAACAACACTCTAACATCACAATTAAAAGAACTAGAGAAGCAAGAGCACACAAATTCAAAATCTAGCAGAAGGCAAGAAATAACTAAGATCAGAGCAGAACGGATGGAGATAGAGAAACAAAAAACCCTTCAAAAAATCAATGAACCCAGAAGCTGGTTTTTTGAAGAGATCAACAAAATTGATAAAACACTAGCAAGACTAATAAAGAAGAAAAGAGAGAAGAATCAAATAGATGCAATAAAAAGTGATAAAGGCGATTTCACCACTGATCCCATGGAAATAGAAACTACCATCAGAGAATACTTAGAGAATACTACAAACCCCTCTCCACAAATAAACTAGAAAATCTAGAAGAAATGGATAAATTCCTGGACAAATACACCATCCCAGGACTAAATCAGGAAGAAGTTGAATCCCTGAATAGACCAATAACAGGCTCTGAAATTGAGGCAATATTTAATTAGCCTACCAATCAAAAAAAGTCCAGGACCAAATGGATTCACAGCCGAATTCTACCAGGGGTACAAAGAGGAGCTGGTACCATTCCTTCTGAAACTATTCCAATGAATAGAAAAAGAGGGAATCCTCCCTAACACATTTTATGAGGCCAGCATCATCCTGATACCAAAGCCTGGCAGAGACACAACAAAAAGAGAATTTTAGACCAATATCCCTGATGACCAATATCAATATCAATGCAAAAATCCTCAATAAAATACTGGCAAGCCGAATCCAGCAGCACATCAAAAAGCTTATCCACCACTGTCAAGTCAGCTTCATCCCTGGAATGCGAGCCTGGTTCAATATATGCAAATCAATAAATGTAATCCGTCACACTTCAGCCTTCGAGTAGCTATCAGGTGCGCCACCATGCCCAGCTAATTTTTGTGTTTTTAGTAGAGATGGGGTTTCACCATGTTGCCTAGGTTAGTCTTGAACTCCTGGGCTCAGGTGATCTGCTCGCCTTGGCCTCCCAAAATGCTAGTATTACAGGCATGAGCCACTGTGCCCAGCCAAACTATGTAACTTTTCATGGAAGACAAATCTATAAAGAAAGCAGATCATTTGTTACTTGGGACTTGGGTAGGTGGGAGTGAGGATTTAATGAAAATAAACATGAGGAAACTTTTTGAGATTATGTAAGTATTCAAAAACTGAATTTTTGTAATTGTTGTACAACTCTATAAATTTGTCAAAACTCATTGAAATGTGCATTTAAAATAAATAAATTTTGTGCTCTGTATATTATACCTCAAAAAAGCTGATAAAATATAAATTGGAAGAAAAGTACTGGAAAACATAAGTTGGGGATGAATGAGGGTGATCAAAATTAATGCATCCTTCAAGATGAAACTAGTGATTTTAATTTTACGATTAGTTTTTTAAATTACTTGTTAATTCAAGTACACATATTACATTTCAAGGGTAATCGTGAATAGAATAGAACTAAAACATACAACTTTTAAACAAATAGAGGGGAAAAACCTTGATCAATCTAATAGAATGCATTGGGGAAAAGAATTGGAGAAATAATATGGTTACCAGAAAGCACAAAATATGAATGCAGAAGTAAATATAAATTTATCCATAACCACAATAAACTTAAATGATCTAAATTAGTTAAAGACAGGCACTTGAAGACTGGATAAAAACGTGAAAATCCAGGTATAACCCGTAATAGTTAAAAACATGAAGACACAAAATTCTGAAGGTATGAGATGAGTAAATGATAAATAAAACAAATATTAACCAATATATGGCTGATATAGCTATTTTCATATCAAAAACTATTATTTAAGACAAAAACATTCCGAGGAATAAAGGTCATTATGTAAGGACATGTATGCATGTAAGAATTCAATCACAAAATATATGAAGCGCAAATTGCAGAATTACAAAGAAAAATGGCTAAATCCTCAACCTTGAAGAAACTTAAACCTCTGAGTCAATGATAATCAAAATGTAGTAAGATTATCTCAGATTTTAACCACTGTATTAAAAAAGCTTAATTTAAAGGAAATATATAGACTTCTGTATGCTCAAATTAGAGAATATATATACTTTGAAGCCTGATAAAGTCTTAGGAGAACTGAACCTATGCTAGCCTATGAATCAAATCACAACAAATAAACAAACATTATAACATGCGGCTTATCCTCTCTAACCAAAATGCAATTTATAAGAGAAAAAAATGTAAATTTCTTTCATCTTCAAATTAAAGGCGTATCTTAAATAATTTTTCAGTCAAAGAAGACATGAAAACAAAAATCAGAAGATATTTGGAAGTGAAATACTACATAACAAAACTTGTGAGATAGAGCTGAGGCAGTACTGAAAGGGTAATTTATATCTTTAAATGTTTATATTGAAAAATAGGTTGAAAATTAGTTAAGTGTCCACCTTAGGAAGTTTAGAAAGAGAAAAAGAGATTGGGCATGGTGGCTCAGGCCTTTAATCCCAGCACTTTGGGAGGTCAAGGAGGGCAGATTACCTGAGGTCGGGAGTTCAAGACCAGCTTGGTCAATATGGTGAAACTCCTGTCTCTACTGAAAATACAAAAATTAGCTGGGTGTGGTGGTGGGTGCCTATAATCCCAGCTACTCGGGAGGCTGAGGCAGAAGAATTTCTTAAGCCAGGGAGGCAGATGTTGTAGTGAGCCAAGATTGGGCCACTGCATTGCAGCCTGGGCAACAGAGCAAGACTCTGAAAAAAAAAATTGGAGTAAACCTAAATAAAATAAATTAAACTCAATAAGGCTAAAAGTAGAAATAGACATTAATAAACTATAAAACAAAGAAACAATAGGCAAGATTCAGAAAACCAAATGCTGATTCTTTGAAAAGAATAATAAAATAGGCACTCTTCTGGTAACATTGATTAATTAAAAAGAGAAGGTATAAATAAGCAATATTAGGAATAAAAAATGAAGTGTAACATAAAATATGAGTGAAAAAATAATAAAGTGAATACTATAAATGACTATATGAAAACAGTCTAAAAATATAAATGAAATGAACAACTTCGTTGGCTACTACATCTTATAAACACTTAGTCAAGAAGAAATAGGACACCTGAATATTCATGTATCTATTTTTAAAAATTCAATCAGTAAATACTTTCTCATAGAAAACACCCACTAGTATGAGATACTTTAATATGAAAGTTCTACCAAACATTCAAAGAACATATAAATAAGCACTAT
This sequence comes from Homo sapiens, assembly GCF_000001405.40. NCBI lineage: Eukaryota > Metazoa > Chordata > Mammalia > Primates > Hominidae > Homo > Homo sapiens. Next base: position 11,410,416 of record NC_000024.10, read on the forward strand.
CATATCAAAATAATTTCAGAGAATGGAAAAAAAGGGAACACCTTCAATTCATTTTGTGAGGCTAACATAAATGCAATATAAATATTTAAGATCATTATAATCCAAGAAAATTGCAGGCTAAACTAAGCTTAGATACAAACATCTAAAATAAAATAATAGTAAATCTAATAATGTATCCTAAAAAAAATTCTGGACCAGTTGGGTATCTCAGGAACAGAAGCAAACGTTTAACAATTTGCCCAAGCAGCTTTTATTTTATTTTATTATTTTTAAAGAGACAGGGTCTTGCCCTGTTGCCTGGGTTGGAATAGTGGCACGATCATATATCTCACAGCATCCTTGAACTCGTGGGTTCTAGGGACCCTCTGCCTTAGCCTCCTGAGTAGCTGGGACTACAGGCACACACCGCAATGCCTAGCTAATTTTAAAAAAGTTTTTATTTTGTAGAGATTAAGTCTCACTATGTTGCCCAAGCTAGCCGCAAACTCTTGGCTTCAAATGATTCTTCCACCTTGGTGCCCCGAAGTGTTGGGATTACAGGCATCAGTCATGGCACCTGGCCTGAGCAGGTTTTAATAAGTCACCCCATATTTGGAGAATTTCTAATATTATTAATATTACTTTCTCAATGCAGAAGCCAGGAACACAAATTTTTAAACTTCCTTTGTCATGAAGACATTGACACATGATGAATACACTGCTACTGACATTAATTTCTGCTTTTATCTGCATAGCTAGTACCTCCAGGAAAAGGAGAGGAATGAGGTTGGAAAATAGTACACAGGAAGCTTCAACTATATCTATAATGATTTTATATATGTGTGTGTGTGTGTGTGTGTGTGTATATATATATATACATATATATATATATATATATATATACATATATATATATATATATTTTTTTTTTTTTTTTTGAGGCTGGAGTGCAGTAGCGCAATCTTGGCTCACTGCGACCTCTGCCTCCTGGGTTCAAGCGATTCTCCTGCCCCAGCCTCTTGAGTAGCTGGGACTACAGGTGCATGCCATGATGTCTGGTTAATTTTGTATTTTTTAGTAGAGATGGGTTTTCACCATGTTGGCCAGGCTGGTTTGAACACCCAACCTCAGATGATCTGCCCGACTCAGCCCCCAAAGTGCTGGGATTACTGGTGTGAACTACAGTGCCTGGCCAGATAATGTTTAAATTAGAAGGTTGCATGCATAAATATGATATCTTGGACATTGATGAGATCACATAGACAAACTATGTAAAAGGAAAAGAGGAAAAGGCCCATGTCTAAGTCCTGAGTGATATTTCATATTTAGAAGTTAGGAAAAGAAGAATGGAAAATGGAAGACAAAAAAGGATGAAGCAGTGAGGGAAGAAGAAAACCAGTAAGTGGTGCCTCAGAATTAGAAAAAAAAGAGAAGTGTTTCAATAAGAGAGTGATCATCGGCGTCAAAAGCTGCAAAGATCTTGAATACGATGCAGACAGAAAAGTTCACTGGATTTGGTTAATACACTTAGTCAGATAACAAAAAAACAGCAATTTCACCAGTTACGCTCCTTTTCATACTCCAGAGATGAAGGATAATATTCACTAGCCTATATAATATTCTAAGTCTTGAATGTCAAATAACATAACATAGGTGATTGTGTTAAATGTCAGAGTATTTAAGGAATAATTATGTTGCAATATACAGGCCAGCGTGCATTTGTTGCTGCTGGAGTAGTCAAGTTTTATTTCTGACAAGTCTTCAGTTCCAGGGAGCCTCTCCCTGGCTGAGTAACTCTCACCCATTCATCTTTCAGGGAGAGTTTGCTGTGCATCCCAAGTATCTTAGAATTGGGTAGAAGTTTAGCTTTAATTAGTTTGACCTTGAGTCTAGCAACAGGAGAAGGAACAGGCAGCGAAGAGGCTGTGAATGATGTCCCAGCAGCAGGAGACAGGGAGTGTCATTATCATTCCTGGTCTTCTCACAGTACTCTGAATACAGAGAGTGAGGAAGATTAGGGGGTCGTGTCTGCTGACCCCCTGATGATCTCAGACCCTCTCTGCTCTTTCTGGATGGTGACCTGTTAATTCTGGCATATTATTACTGATAATATATTTATCCTTTTCACTGTGATTTGCCCAATTGTTGCTTTAGCACTGGACCTTGTCAAGAAGTTGTTGGTAGTGGATCCAAAGGCACGTTTTATGACAGAAGAAGCCTTAAGACACCGTGTCTTCAGGTGGGTGTGGGACAGTGCCTGCAAGCATAAAATACATGGGAAGCCCTGCTGCCTGAAAGACATGAGACAGAGGACAGAAACATGTTTAGTCTGTTTAATCTAATTGTTTTAGATGTACGGGGGGTATCTTGGAGGACGGGTTACAACCTGTATTTTTTTTTCTTTTTTGAGACAGGTTCTCATTCTCTCATCCTGGCTGGAGTGCACTGGCACGATCTCAGCTCACTGCAACCTCTGCCCCTTGGGTTCAAGTGATTCTCCTGCCTCAGCCTCCTAAGTAGCTGGGATTAAAGGTGCATGCTACGAAGCCCAACTACTTTTTGTGTTTTTTGTAGAGATGGGGTTTCGCCGTGTTGGCCAGGCTACAATCTTTTTGATGTTACTCATGGCTGTTGGATGTACAAGCTCAATTTATGTCCTGTTCTGGTTCCACTTGGCTGTCCCAAGTCTTCAGTCTGGCCTGTGTTCTTTTGAGGGCTTGTTCTGGCTCTACCCCCAGCCATGCCCACTGCTCTTCATAGGTGGGGTGCATTCCAGCCATCTTCAACTTTAAATCAGGGAAGTGGGGGAGGGGGAGGAGGGCAGCCTCCCTGGGGAGAATCCAGCTATTTCTCAAGCCCAAGTGACTGGGTATAAAGCTTCCCACTGCTTGTTCATTCCGGTGAGTAAATGTGTCCTTAGTGAAGGCCGTCACGTGCACCTTTCATCTGTGTTACTGCTGTGCTCCTGCTAGGGGTTGGGGTTGCCATTATTAAATGCTGACCTCATTTGGAACTGTCAAGAGTTGGAAGTACGTTTTGGCTTTGCTGGATTAATCTTTAGTTTTTGAATTAGCTACCCCATTGGGCAGGTTTTCTGATAGATGTTTGGTCTTCTGTAACGAGCAGTTCCATTCAACACAGCCATGTCCCTTTCTATTAATTTTCTTTTGGTCTGTGTATCAGTCTGTTCTCACACTGCTATAAAGAACTGCCCAAGACTGGGTAATTTATAAAGAAAGGACGTTTAATTGACTCACAGCTCCACATGGCTGGGGAGGCCTCAGGAAACTTACAATCATGGTGGAAGGGGAAGAAGGCATGTCTTAATGGCAGCAGGTGAGAGAGCTTGTGAAGGAAGTGAAGGGCGAAGAGACTTTTATGAAACTGTCAGATCTCGTGAGAACTCACTATCACGAGAATAGCCTGGGGGAAACTGTCCCCATGAGCCAATCACCTCTCAATAGGTCCCTTTCTCAACACCTGGGGATTACAATTTGAGATGAGATTTGGGCAGGGACATAAAGCCAAACTGTATCAATCCGTTTTCTGTGGAGATGGGGGACAGAACTGGTAGCTTGAGCTAGAGGCTGTTACTTGAGCTAAATGCTGTTTCTCTGGGGATTACTGGTCCAGGAACTCCTTGGGCAATCCAGCCTCAGCCCCGTACTTCTGGGACTCTAGGAAGACTGTCCCCATTCTCTGTTCTAATACTCTACACCTAACAGTTTTGCTCAGGCCAGCTCAGGTTGAGAACAACAAAAACTTAAAAAAAAAAAGACAGATATATGTGTTTTGGATGTTGCCCTGGAAACTACAGTCTCCCCAGAAGAAATCTGTCAGATGATTTAGCATTTAATAGACCACACAGATTTGAGACAGCGGGACCCTGCAGGAAAGGGCTTTGGAAACAAAGGGTGCCTTTGCATGTGGGGATTTTAATTTTGATGAAAAAAAGAAACATGTCTTTTGGCTCTTTTCATGTGTCCTAATAGGGAAATTCTCGGGTCTAAATGTAGAGGTACAGGAGCTGTGTTCATCCCTAGCAAAAAACAGAGCTGGCCTGTTGAGCCTGGGAACAGGGTTTGCATCTGCCTGAAATTTATGAGCAAGGGTAGCCCATTTTTCTTGTATTTCGTCTCAAATAAAACTTATTAACAACCAAGGAGAAGGTGAAGTTCAACTCTGTTGCAGGATCTCCCTGGAATACTCTTTTAGCCACCTTTTGTTTTTGCAGTAAAAGGAGGAATGAGCATTGAATGAAGACAAGGATGAAGACTGACCATCTAAAACATCTGTTAGTGATAGTTTGGGTTTTATTTTGGGAAAATTCAGTGTTTTCGCAAAAAACAAATGGTTTTGTGGGTCTGGAGCTGGACTGAGTGTTGGGAATGTGGATTCTTGTTTCTGTTTTGTCATTAACACAGTGCCCAATTTTGGGAGCATCCCTTACATCTACTGTCTGCCTCATATTTACTGCCTGAAATAGACGATTTCTTCTGTTTGCTTTCAAGGGATATTATAATTTAATTTTTATTTTATTTATTGTTCGAGACAAGGTCTTCTTCTATTGCCTAAACTGGAGTGCACTGGTGCAATTATAGCTCACTGCAGCCTCGACCTCCTGGTCTTAAGGGATCCTCCCGCCTCAGCCTCACAAAGTGCTTGGATAATAGGCACGAGCCACTGTTCCTGACTAATTTAATATTTTGGAATAATTGTAGACATCATGAAGAAAATCAATGTTTATTTATTTATTTCCTTTTTTGAGATGGAGTCTCGCTTTTGTCTACCAGGCTGGAGTGCAACGGTGTGATCTCAACTCACTGCAACCTCCACCTCTGGGTTCAAGTGATTCTATTGCATCAGCCTCCCAAGTGGCTGGAATTACAGGTGCCTGCCACCATGCCCAGTTCATTTTTGTATTTTTAGTAGAGATGAGGTTTCACCGTGTTGGTCAGACTAGTCTCAAACTCCTGACCTCAGGTGATCCACCCACCTTGGCCTCCCAAAGTGCTGGGATTCCAGGCATGAGCCACTGAGCCTGACCTGATTACTTGTTTTAAATATAGGCCTGATTAGGCTTGTGACCACTCTGTTTGGCTTTACTGAAGGTCTGCCAAGAGATGGACTTTTGAGAGTGACACTGCAAGATAATTGAGATCCAAAGTAAGGCCGTGAGAGGGTGCGGAGAGGAATCCAGATGAGCTTGCTGCTGTCAAATTGCAATGGGGAGCTACACTGTGAAACTCAAAACAGAGTGACCTCAAGAGATATGCCCTGCCTTCGCCTCCCAAAGTGCTGGGATTACAGGCATGAACCACTGTGCCTGGTCCTCCTTTCCTTCTTTCTTTCTTCCTCCTTCCTTCCCCCTCCCCTCTCCTCCATTTCTTTCCTCTCCCCTCTTTCATCCCCCCTCCCTTTTTCCTTCCTTGTTTCTTTCCTTCCTTCCTTCCTCAGGGTCTTCTTTGCTCACCTAGGCTGGAGTGCAGTGGCATGATCACTGCACCATGACTTTCAGGCTCAAGTGTTCCTCCTGCCCCAGCCTCCCAAGTAGCTGAGACTACAGGTGCATGCCACCATGTCTGGCTAATTTAATTTTTTTTTTTTTTTTTGGAGACAGAGTCTTACTCTTTTGCCCAGGCTGGAGTGCAGTGGTGTGATCCTGGCTTACTGCAACCTCCACCTCTTGAGTTCAAGTGATTCTCCTTCCTCAGCCTCCTGAGTAGCTGGGATTACAGGCATGCACTACCACGCCTGGCTAATTTTGTATTTTAGGTAGAGACGGGGATTCACCATGTTAGCCAGGCTGATCTCAAACTTCTGACCTCAGGTGATTTGCCTGCCTTGGCCTCCCAAAGTGCTGAGATTACCAGCGTGAGCCTCTGTGCCTGGACTAATGTTTAAATTTTTTTTGTAGTGACAAAGTCTCACTATATTGCCCAGGCTGGTCTCAAATTCCTGGCCTCAAGCAATTCTCCCACCTTGGCCTCCCAAAATGCTGGGATTATAGGCATGAGCCACCATGCCCAACCTAGTGTTGTAAAATTTCCATATCCATCAAATTGCCAAATGGTGGAGGACTTTGCTGTATCCTCTCCCTTTCCCCACTGTGGTATGCTTGGCTTAGTTGGAGGAGGGGCTGGAGTTGGGTGGGAAAGTACATGAGGCATTGGAATCAGATAACTCTGGGTCTGTATTCTGCACATGCCACCTGTGAGTGGCTGAGCTGGCCTTCTGGCCAACACTCAAAGGCCACATTCCTAGTTATAGATGTTCCTTTCACCTTGCTGAAGATGGGAAGAGCTGCACCAGACCACCTCTCAGGGTTTCCTAATGCAAATCCTTGAACCCTGCAGAAGTAAGCATCTAGAGAGGTGGGAGCTACTGGTATACACACTGTCTGTGCCCTCCTCATCTCCCGCTCCTGCAGCATGAAACACCTGTAATGCTTTGGTCTGTTTATTGTCTCCCTTTCTCATTAGACCTGAGCTCTGGGATATTGGGGGCTTAAGTACTTCTGAAAATTTTTATGGCATCTGCTGTGTGAATTTTCCTAGGGTGCTGGGCTGGTTGTTAGGACAGCCTGGGTGACTGGCCTCATTCATGGCAAGGGCAGCAGGTGGAGAGTGGTCCTGGAAGGATTTTAGGATTTGCATGGAGTCAGGCCCAGCCCCTGGCCCCCTTATTGTCACCTTTCTCAGGATCTGGGATGCTAATTCAGAAACTCTTGACATCTGGAGGCTGTGATTGACCCACTGAGAGCTTTTAGGCATGTGGATGTGAGTCAGCCAGGATTGATGGAGCATTGACCGCTAATTGGACTCCTCTGGGAAGGTAGAGGGGGGCAACACATAATGCCTTTGCTGTGGGAGCTTCATCAAGGGGATGATTCTTGGACAGACATCTTTTCCTCCCTCTTTCCACAGGGACATGCTACCCCTGTCATTCCAGGAGTTTATTATACTTCAGACACAGCTACTTATGTTTTTAATTCCCTCACAGGATGAAGACATGAAGAGAAAGTTTCAAGATCTTCTGTCTGAGGAAAATGAATCCACAGCTCTATCTCAGGTTCTAGCCCCGGTATTCGTATTCCTGATGATCACTAAATGTAGTCTGGGCTTAAGGAGCTGATAAGCAAAGATGATGAAATTCAAGATTTTCCTGAGCAGCAATTGCTTAACATTGTTTCAGTTATAAGGTAGTAGAAACTCTGTTTGAACTTGATTCACTCCAGCACCCTTAGATTTTAAAATGCAGGATATGTTTAATGTCTAACACATAATAGACAGATAAGCACAGCTAGGGATTGTCATCCAAAAGGTCACCTGCAAGGCAATTTTGAAATACTCTATTAGAGGCTCAAATATAAATTTGTTGGAAAAATTAAAATTTGGGTCAGTAGTTGATTCCTTGATTACAATTTTATTCTTTAAAGTTCTTTGTGAGTATAAGTTAATTCCAGTCCTGCTTTTTTGTTGTTGTTGTTGTTGAATGGTAGCTGTCCTTTTTCCCACTGTTTCCTCCCCGCCACCCCTGATTTTTTTTTTTCTTGAGACAGAGTCTTAGTCTGTCACTCAGGCCAGAGTGCAGTGGTGCAATCTCAGCTCACTGCAACCTCTGCCTCCTGGGTTCAAGCAGTTCTCCTGCCTCAGTCTCCCGAGTATCTGGGACTACAGGTGTCTGCCACTGTGCCCAGCTAATTTTTGTATTTTTAGGTGAGATGGGGTTTTGCCATGTTGGTCAGGCTTGTCTCGAACTTTTGACCTGAAGCGTCCTGCCCACCTCGGCTTCCCAAAGTGCTGGGATTACAGGTGTGAGTCACCACACCCAGCCTTCCTCCCAATTTTGTATATGGGAAAACAACTAAAGCACAAAGGTTGTCTTCCCGCAAAAGACCAAGACTTGGGGCTTCAACTGAGAGGTATTGTAGTCCTTTTAAACTTGATATTTAGAAGAGGATGATCCAGAGGAAGTTGGTTATGCTACTTGCTTTCAGTAAACATCATTCAGGTGTCAGAAGCCATAGGGAGAGAAATATCTATTAGATAAGCATGTCTGAGTTGAGGGCTGTGGTGAAGACTCAGTTGTCAATGATGACAACCAGTAATTTTTGGTACTAGAATTTCACGTCAAATACCTCCACTTTACTGGAAGTACATTGAGGAACTTTGACAATCTTAAAGAATCCAGTGATTTTCTTTTGAACATTTCTCCATTTTCCTTTATTTTCAGCCTTCTACTATTCGAAAGCGGCCTCGTGAAGGGGAAGCCGAGGGTGCTGAGACCACAAAGCGTCCGGCTGTGTGTGCTGCTCTGTTGTGAACTCCGTGGTTTGAACATGAAAGAAATGTACCTTCTTTCACTCTGTCATCTTTCTTTTCTTTGAGTCTGTTTTTTATAGTTTGTATTTTAATTATGGGAATAATTGCTTTTTCACAGTCACTGATGTATAATTAAAAACCTGATGGAACCTGGGCTTTGTTCTTCTGCTTGATAATCAGTTCTTTAGTTGAATGGCTTTATTATTTATTTATTTATTTGAGATGGAGTCTCACCCTGTTGCCCAGCCTGAAGTGTAGTGGTGCAAGCTTGGCTCACTGAAACCTCTGCTTCCCAGGTTCAAGCAATTCTCGTGCCTCAGCCTCCTGAGTAGCTGGGATTACAGGTATGCACCACCATGCCAAGCTAATTTTTATATTTTTTTGTACAGACAGGGTTTTGCCATCTTGGCCAGCCTCGTCTTGAACTTCTGACCTCAGGTGATCTGCCTGCCTCGGTCTCTTAAAGTGTTGGGATTACACATGTGAGCCACTGTGCCTAGCCTGAATGGCTTTTTTATATTTAAAGTTGTTGTGTGCCTTTCATCTGGAGCTACACCTTGGTTATCACTAGGCAGGTTTCCCAGGATGTCAGCCTGGTCTCAGCCTGTGAGAGCTGAATACAAATTCTAAGGGCCCCTTGGAAAGTTCCAGGGAAAGGAGCATAGCGAGGTTGGGGGTGGAGTTTGTAGAGACTGGCTGGCTGGCTGCTGACATCTTCATGAGAACAGCAGGTACCTTGATGCATAATAACAGGCCAGGTTATATTCTCATCCTTGCCCTCATAAAGATACAGGTCTACAGTCTCTGAAAACTTTGGGCTAGATAAGTTGTGAAATTTAATTACCCAATTTTAGGAAGGTGGTAAGGCATATCTACTATGTGTATGTGTAGCACCCCAGTGGAGTCCTACACATGTGGAGTCCTACCCCAGTGGAGACCAAACATGTTAATATTTCCACAGCAAATATTCACAGTAAGAGGGATAGAAAAAGATTATAGGTATTTGCATGTTGATTCATATCAGCCTTTTCTTCCAAATGAGCTACAATGACTCATTTTTGAGAGCTGTTTGGGTTTTGGAAGTGGAGATAAGGCATGGGTATGTCTTCTTGACCCAATAATGACTGGGGAGGCCCTGTGAAAAGACTTACCCTTGGCTGCTCTTGTCCTCATAGTGATTCTATGAATGAGGTCCTCTAGCCACTGTCATGTCACAGGTGAGGAAACCAAAGTTGGAGGATGAAGGTAACTTTTCTGATGTCGTGCAGCTGGTAAAGGGCAGAGCTGGGACCCAACCCAGGTCTTTTTGACTCTAAAACTTATGTTCATTATTGTCCACTGAATCTGCTTTTATAATTTTGCTTGGTTGATGCTAGGGCACTTTGTAGCTCGCTGGCCATGCCATGAATTGAGTGCTGTGGTTCAAAGACCACTGGCAACTCAGTCAAGGCAGGCTCAAGCCGTACACAGCCATTTCCTTAGGAAATGGGGATGGTGGTTGGAAATTTCTATTAAAGGGTATATAAGCATTCTGAGACTTGGCTGGCCTGGTGTAGGCGGTTTGTTGGGAATTTAGGTGGTTTGCATGTTTAAAGGAATAAGGCTGAGATTGCCAGTCAGATAGGTTTTAGCTCATTTGAATATTTAATGTGGAGGCTGTGGTTTCCTGGGACTTTTTTCCCACTGTAGAGAGTTAGCCAGATTTTCTCTCTTTCTTTTTCTTTTTTCTTTTTTTTTTTTTTAAATTGAGATGAAGTCTCATGCTTGTCACCCAGGCTGCAGTGTAATGGTGCGATCTCAGCTCACTGCAACCTCCACCTCCTGAGTTCAAGCGATTCTCCTGACTCAGCCTCCCGAGTAGCTGGGATTACAGGCACCTGCCACCATGCCCAGCTAATTTTTGTATTTTTAGTAGAGATGGGGTTTCACCATGCTGGTTACGCTGGTCTTGAACCCCTGACCTCAGGCAATCCCACCGCCTCCCTCCCAAGGTACTGGGATTAGAGGCATGAGCTACCATGCCTGGCCACCTTCTCTGTTTCCAGAGCATTTTGTATTAACTCCTTCTCATGATATCTTCCATGGCAGGCTGAATAATGGCCCCTCCAAAGTGTCCTCAACTTAATCCCCGGAATCTGTGACTATGTTCCATGAAAAAAGGGACTTTGCAGATGTGATTAAGCATCTTGAGATGGGAACTTATCCTATGTTGCCTGTGGGTCCAGTGTCCCATCACAGTGCTCTTTTTTTTTTTTTTCGAGACGGAGTTTTTTGCTCTTGGTGCCCAGGCTGGAGTGTAATGGCACAATCTCGATTCGCTGCAACTCCACCTCCCAAGGTTCAAGCGATTCTCTTGCCTCAGCCTTCCGAGTAGCTGGATTACAGGCGCTCGCCAACATGCCCAACTAATTTTTGTTTTTCCAGTAGAGATGGGGTTTCACCATGTTGGCCAGGCTAGTCTTGAACTCCTGACCGCGTGATCTGCCCACCTTGACTTCCCAAAGTGCTGGGATTACATGCGTGAGCCACCACATCCAGCCTACTGTGCTCTTTTAAGAGGGACTCAGCAGTCAGGGGAGATGGCAATGCGATGATGACTGTCTTAGTCTTTTTTGTATTGCTATGCAATATCTGAGACTGGGTAATTTATAAAGAACAGGTTTATTTCTTACAGTTCTGGAGGCTGGGAATGTCAAGATCAAGGGGCCAGCTTCTGGTGAGGGTCTTCTTGTTGTGTCATCCCATGATGGAAGGTATCACATCAAGAGAGAAAGGGGGCTGAACTCAATCATTTTATTAGCAACCCATCCCATGATAATTAACCCTCTGCTGAGATAACATCATTACTCTATTAATGAGGGCAGATCTTTCATGACCTAATCTCTTAAAGGTCCCGCCTCTCAACACTGTTGCATTGGAGATTAAATTTCCAACACATGAACTTCGGGGGACACATTCAAACCATAGCACTGTGCAGAGATTGGAGTGGTGTGCTTTAAAAATGGAGGAAAGGGCCACAATTCAGGGTATATAGGTAACCACTAAAAGCAGAAAAAGGAAAGAAAACGGGTTTTTCCTTCAGAACCTCCTGAAGGAATCAGTCCTTTACAACTTGACTATAGTCAAGTGAAACTGATTTGAGGCTTCTGACATATAGAACAATAAGATATTAAGTCTGTGTTGATGTAAGCCAATCAGTTCGTGGTAATTTGTTACAGCAGCCATAGAAAACTAATTGACTCATCAATGGGAGAAATCAGTTGCTGGTTGAAGGCTACCAAACACCTACTTCCTTTCCTAAGGTCACTTTAATTTTATCTTGGAGGAATTATTTTCCCTATCCCATTAAGTTATGGGAGATGGGGCCAGGCATGGTGGCTTAGCAATCCCAGCACATTGGGAAGCTGAGGCGGGTGGATCACTTGAGGTCTGGAGTTTGAGAGTAGCCTGGCCAACATAGTGAAACCCCATCTTTACTAAAAATACAAAAATTAGTCAGGTGTGGTGGTGGGTACCTGTAATCCCAGCTACTCCAGAGGCTGTGGCATGAGAATTGCTTGAACCCAGGAGGCAGAGGTTGCAGTGAGCTGAGATCGCACCACTGCACTCCAGCCTGGGTGACAGAGTGAGAATCCATCTCAAAAAAAAAAAAAATTATGGGAGAGGATGGTAAAGCTAAGTATCTTTTGCACCTACTCCCCAGCCCCACCACTGCAGAAGCTAAAGGGGTTCCTAGTGGCGTCTTCTGCCATGGAGTTGTTCCCACTGACCCCTAGATAGAAGTGTGTGTAGGACTTTGAAACATGAACAAATGGAGCTGGGATGGCAATGGCGGGAACAATATTGTGCTAATCTGAACTCTGCACTTCCTAAATTTGGCTCTGGGTAAATTACCTCAAATTGCTGAGCCTTTGTTTCCATATTTACAAAATGGGTGCGGTAAGAGTACCAACCTCTTCTATGCTGTCTGGAGGAGTCAGGTCCATAAGGTAACTGGCATGTGGTAAGAGATTCGTGAATGTTGGCTTCTATCATTAAGGGTGGGGGAGCCACATAAGTAGCCAGAGGGAGTCATAGAAAGTTCTTGAGCCAGAGAAGTAAGATAATCTTTTCAGCTTTTTGTGCAGCAAAGAAAGCGGATAATTTGCTTGCCTTTGACCAAGCAAATTTGGGATGTGCCAGGCATGGGGTGAATGGTGGGAACCCAAGTAGAGGGATATTTCTCATTGACTGAATTAACTGTGACTCCGTATTGCGGAGCAGCCAGGTTGCTTCATGGTGGACCTACTGCATGCCTACATGATGGTGCCGTGGATAGCTCTTGTTTGTGCCAGCCCTGTAATTGATACTTCCTGTGGTAATTGCATCCCTATTTTTCAGAAGGAAGCATCCCTCCTCCCAATTTCTGGTTTTCCCCATGTCCTTCTGGAGGGAATGACCCCAACCGCTTCCTGAAGGGGCTTCATGAAAGCCAGGTCTGGCCAGGCTGGATGTGGTGATTGGCTCAGGCAGGGGCATGTGGCCCAAATGGGTCCAGAGAAAGTCAGTCCTGGGACTTTGGCTGGAACTATTGGGGAACAGCCTCTGCTTTCTTGGGCAGATGTGAGTTAGGAGCTGCTCAGGTCACTATGTGGAAAGAACCGCATGAGAATGAAGTAATCAAAGGGAAGCAAGCACTGAGATATTAGAGAGACTTATCTTGTATAAGTGCCTGTATCCAGCTATGCCTGAAATGAGGTGCCACCCCAGGCCTTTTCATTCATGCTATCAGTTTTGTTCCTTTTTTCTGTTTTACTCTTGGTGGAGTTATTATTTTTTCCTTGTTACCTGAATAAGAAAAATACCAAACTAGAAGGCTGGGTGCAGTGGCTCACGTCTGTAATCCCAGTACTTTGGGAGGCCAAGGCAGGTGGATCACGAGGTCAGGAGTTTGAGATCAGCCTGACCAACATGGTGAAATCCCGTCTCTACTAAAAAATACAAAAAAATTAGCCGGACGTGGTGGTGCGCACCTTTAATCCAAGCTACTCAGGAGGCTGAGACAGGAGTATCGCTCGCATCTGGGAGGCGGAGGTTGCAGTGCGCCGAGATCGTGCCACTGCACTCCAGCCTAGGTGACAGAGCAAGACTCCATCTCAAAAAAAAAAAAAAAAAAAAAAACAGAAACTTCCAAAATTGACACCCTAACATCACAATTAAAAGAACTAGAAAAGCAAGAGCAAACACATTCAAAAGCTAGCAGAAGGCAAGAAATAACTAAAATCAGAGCAGAACTGAAGGAAATAGAGACACAAAAAAACCTTCAAAAAATTAATGAATCCAGGAGCTGTTTTTTTGAAAGGATCAACAAAATAGATAGAAAGCTAGCAAGACTAATAAAGAGAAAAAGAGAGTAGAATCAAATAGACAAAATAAAAAATGATAAAGAGGATATCACCACCGATCCCACAGAAATACAAACTACCATCAGAGAATACTACAAGCACCTCTACGCAAATAAACTAGAAAATCTAGAAGAAATGGATAAATTCCGCGGCTCATACACTCTCCCAAGACTAAACCAGGAAGAAGTTGAATCTCTGAATACACCAATAACAGGATCTGAAATTGTGGCAATAATCAATAGCTTACCAACCAAAAAGGGTCCAGGACCAGATGGATTCACAGCCGAATTCTACCAGAGGTACAAGGAGGAACTCGTACCATTCCTTCTGAAACTACTCCAATCAATAGAAAAAGAGGGAAACTTCCCTAACTCATTTTATGAGGCCAGCATCATTCTGATACCAGAGCCGGGCAGAGACACAACCAAAACAGAGAATTTGAGACCATATCCTTCATTAACATTGATGCAAAAATCCTCAATAAAATACTGGCAAACCGAATCCAGCAGCACACCAAAAAGCTTATTCACCATGATTAAGAGGGCTTCATCCCTGGGGTGCAAGGCTGGTTCAATATACGCAAATCAATAAATGTAATCCAGCATATAAACAGAACCAAAGACAAAAACAACATGATTATCTCAATAGATGCAGAAAAGGCCTTTGACAGAATTCAACAAGACTTCATGCTAAAAACTCTCAATAAATTAGGTATTGATGGGATGTATTTCAAAATAATAAGAGCTACCTATGACAAACCCACAGCCAATATCATACTGAATGGGCAAAAACTGGAAGCATTCCCTTTGAAAACTGGCACAAGAGAGAGATGCCCTCTCTCACCACTCCTATTCAACATAGTGTTGGAAGTTCTGGCCAGGGCAATTAGGCAGGAGAAGGAAATAAAGGGTATTCAATTAGGAAAAGAGGAAGTCAAATTGTCCCTGTTTGCCGATGACATGATTGTATATCCAGAAAACCCCATCATCTCAGCCCAAAATCTCCTTAAACTGATAAGCAACTTCAGCAAATTCTCAGGATACAAAATCAATGTACAAAAATCACAAGCATTCTTATACACCAACAACAGACAAACAGAGAGCCAAATCATGAGTGAACTCCAATTCACAATTGCTTCAAAGAGAATAAAATACCTAGGAATCCAACTTACAAGGGACGTGAAGGACCTCTTCAAGGAGAAATACAATCCACTGCTCAAGGAAATAAAAGAGGATACAAACAAATGGAAGAACATTCCATGCTCATGGGTAGGAAGAATCAATATCACGAAAATGGCCACACAGCCAAAGGTAATTTATAGATTCAATGCCATCCCCATCAAGCTACCAATGACTTTCTTCACAGAACTGGAAAAAACTACTTTAAAGTTCATATGGAACCAAAAAAGAGCCCACATCGCCATGTCAATCCTAAGCCAAAAGAACAAAGCTGGAGGCATCACACTACCTGACTTCACACTATACTACAAGGCTACAGTAACCAAAACAGCATGGCACTGGTACCAAAACAGAGATATAGATCAATGGAACAGAACAGAGCCCTCAGAAATAACGCCGCATATCTACAACTATCTGATCTTTGACAAACCTGAGAAAAACAAGCAATGGGGAAAGGATTCCGTATTTAATAAATGTGCTGGGAAAACTGGCTGGCCATATATAGAAAGCTGAAACTGAATCCCTTCCTTACACCTTATACAAAAATCAATTCAAGATGGATTAAAGACTTAAACGTTAGACCTAAAACCATAAAAACCCTAGAAGAAAACCTAGGCATTACCATTCAGCACATAGGCATGGGCAAGGACTTCATGTCTAAAACACCAAAAGCAATGGCAAGAAAAACCAAAATTGACAAATGGGATCTAATTAAACTAAAGAGCTTCTGCACAGCAAAAGAAACTACCATCAGAGTGAACAGGCAACCTACAAAATGGGAGAAAATTTTCGCAACCTACTAATCTGACAAAGGGCTAATATCCAGAATCTACAATGAACACCAACAAATTTAAAAGAAAAAAACAAACAACCCCATCAAAAAGTGGGTGAAGGACATGAACAGACACTTCTCAAAAGAAGACATTTATGCAGCCAAAAAACACATGAAAAAATGCTCATCATCACTGGCCATCAGAGAAATGCAAATCAAAACCACAACGAGATACCATCTCACACCAGTTAGAATGGCAATCATTAAAATTCAGGAAACAACAGGTGCTGGAGAGGATGTGGAGAAATAGGAACACTTCTATATTGTTGGTGGGACTGTAAACTAGTTCAACCATTGTGGAAGTCAATGTGGAGATTCCTCAGGGATCTAGAACTAGAAATACCATTTGACACAGCCATCCCATTACTGGGTATATACCCAAAGGACTATAAATCATGCTGCTATAAAGACACATGTACACGTATGTTTATTGCAGCATTATTCACAATAGCAAAGACTTGGAACCAACCCAAATGTCCAACAATGATAGACTGGATTGAGAAAATGTGGCACATATATACCATGGAATACCATGCAGCCATAAAAAATGATGAGTTCACGTCCTTTGTAGGGACATGGATGAAATTGGAAATCATCATTCTCAGTAAACTATCGCAAGAACAAAAAACCTAACACCGCATATTCTCACTCATAGGTGGGAATTGAACAATGAGATCACATGGACACAGGAAGGGGAACATCACACTCTAGGGACTGTGGTGTGGTGGGGGGAGGGGGGAGGGATAGCAGTGGGAGATATACCTAATGCTACATGACGAGTTAGTGGGTGCAGTGCACCAGCATGGCACATGTATACATATGTAACTAACCTGCACAATGTGCACATGTACCCTAAAACTTAAAGTATAATAATAAAAAAATTAAATTAAATTAAATTAAAAAACCATAAAAAAACAGACTAGTAAATGCACCCAGTTACAAATTCCAAGAGACTCTTGAAGATTATTTTTGTTAGTAGGGAAAACATTCTCTATTTTTCTGCCAACTTTAGGGTTTTCAGAGAAGTTTGGCGGAGAGAAAGGAAAACAATGATGTGAGAAGAAAGAGTCCTTGCAGCCCCAAGTTGGGTGAACTCTTCCCAGCTACTTATACCACAGGGTTTTGGGAGAAGAGCCCCTTCCATTAAACTTTTAGGAGTCTTGGATGGATAGGGTGGGAATTACACCAGTGAAACTCAGCTTTGTGTGTGCCAGGCATTGGGCCCTGGGATATGCATTCATGTGTTTTATTATGACATTTTAGTCAATGACAAACCACATGTAAGTCAGTGGACCATAAGATGACTATGGAGCTGAAAAATTCCTA
This sequence comes from Homo sapiens, assembly GCF_000001405.40. Taxonomy (NCBI): domain Eukaryota; kingdom Metazoa; phylum Chordata; class Mammalia; order Primates; family Hominidae; genus Homo; species Homo sapiens. The sequence goes on from NC_000024.10 coordinate 11,427,439, forward strand.
TTGCTTAGTGACATAGCCATTGTAATGTTAGGATAATGCATTTCTGTGTTTCTGGTGATGCTGGTGTAAACAAATCTGTGCTGCCAGTTCTATAAAAGCCTAGCATGTACAATTACATACAATATATAATACTTGATAATGAACAACTATGTTACTGGTTTATTTTTTTGAGACAGAGTCTTGCTCTGTTGCACAGGCTGGAGTGCAGTGGCACGATCTTGGCTCACTGCAACTTCTGCCTCACAGGTTGAAGAGATTCTTCTGCCTCAGCCTCCTGAGTAGCAGGGAATAGAGTCACCCACCACCACAGCCAGCTAATATTTGTATTTTTAGCAGTGATGGGGTTTCACCACACTGCCCAGGCTGGTCTCAAACTCCTGACCTCAAATGATCTGCCCTCCTCAGCCTCCCGAAGTGCTGGGATTACCCACATGAGATACTGTGCCCAGCCCTGGTGTATTTAGTGTTTTTCATAATTTTAGAATGTATGTCTTCTACTTACATTAAAAAATAGTTAACTATAAAACAGCCTCAGGCAGGTCCTTCAGGAAGTGTTCTGGAAGAAGAAGGCATTGTTATCACAGGAGATGACAGCTCCATGCGTGTAATTGCCCAGTCTGGAGTGCAGGGGCACAACCTCGGTTCACTGCAACCTCTGCCTCCTGGGTTCAAGCGATTCTCCTCCATCAGTCTCCTGAGTAGCTGGGATTACTGGTGCACACCACCATGCCTGGCTAAGTTTTGTATTTTTAGTAGAGATGAGGGTTTCACCACGTTGGCCAGGATGGTCTCGAACTCCTGACCTCAAATGATCTGCCTGCCTCGGCCTCCCAAAGTGCTGGGATTACAGGTGTGAGACACCACGACTGGCAAATTTTTTTAAGATACATTTCAGTAAGCTAAGGTTAATTTATTGAAGAAAAGCTTTAAAAAAATTTGGTGTAGCCTAAGCATATGGTGTTTATAAAGTCTACAGTAGTGTACAGTAAGGTCCTATGCCTTCACACTCACTGACTCACCACAGCATCTTCCAGTCCTGCAAGCTCCTTTCATGGTAAGTGCCCTATACAGGAGTACCATTTTAAAATCTCTTATACTCTATTCTTACTGTACCTTCTCTATGTTCAGGTACTCAAGTACTTACATTGTGTTACAACTGCTTATGGTATATTCAGTAAAGTATCAGACTGTACAGGTGTGTAGCCTAGGAGCAATAGGCTATGACATACAGCCTAGGTGTTTAGTAGGCTATACAAGGCTATACCAGGTTTGTGTAAATGCACTTTGCTGTTTGCACAATGCTGCAATCACCAAAGGAGGCATTTCTCAGAACCATCCCGTGATTAAGAGAGTCATGATCATACAGTCATCATCTCAATGAAAGCTCAGTCAACCCTGTGAAGTGCTACTGCCACACTCCCCTTTTGCACATGTAGAAGTCAAGGATCTTTGGCTCCTCTGAGTGACTTGTTCAAGGTTTCTCAGTTTCCGAGCGATGGAGGCGGGACTTGAATTGAGATTTCCCTTTCTTGAGAACCTGTGGTCCTTAACCATTAAAACCACTTAAGAGGTCTTCTCTCTTGATCACTACCTACTAAGAGCTAGGTGTGGTGCTGAGGCATTCTCTTGATTATCATATTGAGTCTTTAGATTTAGGAGAAACAGGCTGAGCGTGCTGGCTCATGCCTGTAATCTCAGCACTTTGGGAGGCTGAGGCAGGAGGATCACGAGGTCAGGAGATGGAGACCATCCTGGCTAACACGGTGAAACCCCACCTCTACTAAAAAGACAAAAATTAGCAGGCGGTGGCGGGCGCCTGTAGTCTCAGCTGCTCAGGAGGCTGAGGCAGCAAAATGGCATGATCCCGGGAGGTGGAGCTTGCAGTGAGCCGAGACTGTGCCACAGCACTCCAGCCTGGGTGACAGAGCGAGACTGTCTCAAAAAAAAAAAAAAAAAAAGATTTAGGAGAAACAAGTCCCGAAGCCCTGACCCTAACACGCAAGGGTTAGTGGAGATGTGGGACTTGAACTCAGCTTTTCCTGTTGAGTCTGGCTGTCTCCGGGACGCAGGCACGTGCTTGCACACCTCCACGGTGGCGAACCCACCCCCTTAGTAGCGTCCTTAGCTCCGAACTTCTTGCGGGGAAGTTCCTCTTGGCCCAGACCCTCGTCCTAGGCCCCGCGTCGTGGGGGAAGCGAAAGGGGCATTGTGGGGAAGTGGCCGAGGTGTCGGGTCCGGGGTGGTCTGCAGAAGGGCAGGCAGCGGTGCGGAGCTGGGAACCACGCGCTCACCTGCCATGTCCGACAGGCCCGGCGGGGGTGGGCGAGACACTGGGAACAGCGGCCAGCTCCAGAGGGCTCGAGGCAGGGCTCGCGCGGAAGGGGGGGCGCACGCGGTTGTGGGGCAGTGAGGGTCGCCGTGGCGGCGCGCAGCACGGCGGGAACATGGCGGGCGGAACTGGCGCGCGCGGCTAGCTGGCGGGACCGTTAGCTCGAGGCGGACGTGGCCCGGACCCTGTGGATATGGAGCAGTCGCCACCGCCCGCGCCCAAGCCTACCCAAGGGCTGACCCCCGCAAGGAGCTGAAGGCAGCGGGAGCCCGAGTCGTCGCTGGCTTCAGCGCCGGTGAGTGCGTGAAGGGCTCGGGCCGGGAGACTTTCTTTGTGAAACTCCGGTGGTGGGAGCCAGGCCAGGCCTCAGAGGCTGAGGAGCGCCTGTGAGGTGGAAGGCATCTCCCAGTCCGGGTTCTATCCCAGCCGCGAGCCGTCAGGCGGCGGGACCTGGTCCGCCGCCTGCCTGCCTCAGTTTCCACGGGAGTGTGTGTGGGTGTGTGTGGGTGTGTGAGGGTGTGTATGGGTGTTGGCCTGTGCACACCGGAGGGGGGGCTCGGTGTACAGTCGGCGCCTAATGCACGCAGCACCTCCCCTCTCCCCCCAGTCCCCGTGGGTCGGAACCTGGGGAATGGAGTCCACCGGAGCAGTAGGCGGCACCCGCGGGGAGACAGGTGTTGGCACAGCCCGGGAGGCTCAGGTGCCACCTTTCCCGGGTGGGGTTTGTGAGGAGTGAGCTGTTCGTCCCCGGAGGTGAGCAAGACTGTCGGTGGCTCATCACAGAGCGCTGTTTTGGAAAGTGTTCCACCCACCTCAGCTTCGTGCTGTGTTTGGGCCACTAGTCAGGGGGAAGGATGCTGAGAGACATGGACTTTAGAGGTGGGGCTCCCGCTGGACGGGATGGCTCTGGGCTCTCCAGCTTACCCCCACCCTTACCTCCCAAACCCGTTAGAGCGTAGGAATCATTGGGAGCACCTGATAAAAATGCCTCGGATTGTGGCTCACCAAAGCAGGGAAGCCGATTTGGAACTTAAGCTCCCAAGTTGTGATCAGTCGAGCTTGGCAAGCACTGCTTTAGAGAGTAGGCTCCCTGCAAGCAGGAGCCGGTTTTGTGTATACCTTACCATGGCATCTTGGTACCTGGCATGATGCCTGGCACACGGTAGATGATCAGAAAATATCTGCAGAAAGTCTAAATTATTAGGGATAGTGCAACATAGGAGTTCTTGAGACATTTTCAGGAGCTTCTTGAGATTAATATCTGTCAGATTTGTTTTACAGTATATGATATTTCTCAGCTCCCAACTTTTGTGATTGTTTTTAATGCCATGTTTTCAGTATGTTCTAGGCAAAAGCAGGGTATATGTTGCTTAGTGTACACTATCCACTAGGCCGGTTGTGGTGGCTCACTCCTGTAATCTCAGCACTTTGGGAGGCAGATTGCTTGAGCCCAGGGGCTTGAGGCTGTAGTGAGCCAAGGAGTTAGAGGCCAGTGTGGGAAACATAGCGAGGCTCGTCTCTGCAAAAATTAGCTGAGTGTGGTAGCGTGCATTTGCAGTCCCAGCTACTCTGGAGGCTGAGGTGGGAGGATCGCTTGAGCTCAGGAAGTACAAGTTGCAGTGAGCCAAGGTTGTGCCACTGCATTCCAGCCTGGATAACACAGCGAAACCCAGTCTCTTAAATAAGTAAATAAATACATAAATGATTATGTATACTCCAGCTAGGTTAAAATTATTTCTGAATCAAAATTCGAAATTAAAATATGCATGTTTCTTTCTCTTCATCATTTGAGAACACTAGGCTTTTAGGATTTCATTCCGTTGGGGCAGGCAAATATCTACATTTTTGACAAAGCAAATATGAATTACTGTTAATTCAAGAAAGGTGGGAATTTTCTTAAACATGAGTATTTGTAGTCTTTGTGATTTTTTTAAACTTTAAATATAAGTTTTCTTTTTTTTTCTTTTTTTTTGAGATGGAGTCTCACTCTCTCATCCAGGCTGGAGTGCAGTAGCACAATCTCAGGTCACTACAACCTCTATCTCCCAAATTCAAGCAATTCCCCTGCCTCAGCCTCTGGTGTAGCTGGCATTACAAGTGTTTGCCACCACACCCAGTTAATTCATGTATTTTTAGTAGTAAGGAGGTTTCACTGTGTTGCCCAGGCTGGTCCCAAACTCCTTGACCTCAAGTGATCTGTCCACCTTGGCCTCCCAAAGTGCTGGGATTACAGACATGAGCCACGGCACCTGGCCTTATTTTTATATTTTTGAGACAGAGTCTCAGTCTGTCGCCCAGGTTGGAGTGCTGTGGCATGATCTCCACTCACTGCAACCTCCACCTCCCAGAGTCCAGCGATTCTAATGCCTCAGCCTCCTGAGTATCTGGGGTTACTAGACCCGGCTAATTTTTGTTGTATTTTTTAGTAAAGACTGGGTTTCCCTATGTTGGCCAGGCTGCTCCGGAAATACTGGCCTCTAGTGATCCACCTGCCTTGTCCTCCCACAGTGCTGGAATTACAGGCATGAGCCACTGCCCCCAGCTAATCTTTGTGATATTTTGAAATTGAGGTTTATATTTTGTTCAGAGTCAAAGCTAAAATAGAATTGTTTGAAAATTAATATTTCAGGAACTACTTTTTAATTAAGTTGAATTATATTTTATTACTTTCATTTCAGTAGGGTTTTAACTTAAATATATATATACACACACATATACACACACACACACATATATATGCACACACACACACACACACACACACACATATATATATATATATTTTTTTTTTTTCCAAGACGGATTCTTGCTCTGTCACCCAGGCTGGAGTGCAATGGCATGATCTTGGCCTTACTGCAGTCTCCACCCTCCCGGCTCAAGCAATTCTCGTGCCTTAGCCTCCCAAGTAGCTGGAACTATAGGTGCCCACCACCACACCTGGCTAATTTTTATATTTTTAGTAGAGAAGGGGTTTCACCATGTTGTCAAGGCTGGTTTTGAACTCCTGATCTCAAATGATCTGCTCTCCTTGGCCTCCCAAAGTGCTGGGATTACAGGCGTGAGCCACCATACCTGGCCTAAAAAATATTTTTAAAGACAGGATCTAGCTATGTTGCCTCAGCTGGTCTTGAACTCCCAGTCTTGGCCTCAAATGATCCTTCTGCCTCAGCCTTCTGAGTAGCTGGAAGCACAGTTGTGAGCCAGCACACCTGGCTTTTTTTGATTTGTAATAAAAAAGTTAATAGAGTTTCTTGTTTCACTGGACAAAATATACATATATAGGAAGGAAAGACTTTTGGACTTGAGATTGCGCTGAAGAAGAAAAATGGAAAAATTAAGCATTTTAGTCTCTCAGTGTGTTATTTTTGTAGCTTATACAGATATGTCTTTTTAAAGTGTCTTTAAAAAGCTTTATTGAGATAAAGATAAATTAGATAAATTCACCTACCATGAAATCAACCCCTGGATTGCAGAATTTTGTGGTTTATAATATGTTCACAGAATCGCACAAACAAGATAGGTATCTAGATACTTTCAGACAATTTTCATCAGTCCACAAGAAATCCCATACCCATTAGCAGTCATCCTTATTCCCTTTTCCCCTAGTCCCTGGCAATAACTTGCCTACTTTCTGTCTCTGAGTTTAGCTCTTCTGGAGGTTTCACAGAATGAAATCTTACTACATATGGTCTTTTGTGATTGACTTATTTCACTTGGCACAGTGTTTTCAAGGTTTATCCATGCTGTAGCGTATATCAGCACTTCATTCTTTTTTAATGCAGAGTAATCTTTTGAATAGATACACTATATTTTATCAGTTCCTCTGTTGATAGGCACTTGAGCTTTTTTTCCAATTTTTGGCTGTTATACACAATGCTGCTGTGAACATTTGTGTACAAATTTTACTGTGGATGTATATTTTCATTTCCCTTGGGTATATCCCTAAGGAATACTCTATCTGGGTCATATGATAATTGTTTAAGACTACAGGCACATGCCACCACACCTGGCAAATATTTAAAAATGTTTTGTAGATAAAGGGTCTCGCTATGTTGCCCAGGCTGATCTTGAACTCCTGGCCTCAAGAGATCCTCTCACCTCAGCCTCCCAGAAAGTGTTGGGATTAGAGATGTGAGTCACTGCACCTATAAAAGAGGCTGATACCTCTTTTTATGTATTTTTTTTAAACAGGGTTTCGCCTGTTGCCCAGACTGGAGTACAGTGGTGGGATCACAGCACACTGCAGCCTGGACCTCACTCCATATGATTCTAGCTGTGGGTGTCTTTCCTGTAGTTTTTATTATGTTGCGATATGTTTCTTCTGTACCCGTTTCTTTGAGGATTTATAGCATGAAGGGATGTTGAATTTCATCAAATGCTTTTTCAGTTTCAGTTGACACGATCATAGTTTTTTTTTTTTTCATTTATTTGGTTGATATGATGTATCACATTGTATGTTGAGTGACCCTTGCATCCCAGGGATACATCCCACTTGATCATGATGAATTATCTTTTTAATGTATTACTGAATTTGATTCACTGGTATTTTGTTGAGGATTTTTGCATCAATATTAGAGATACTAGCCTGTAGTTTCCTTCTTTGATGCCTTTGTCTGATTTTGGTATCACAGTAATAATGGTCTCATAAAATAAGTTTGGAAGTATTCCCTCCTGTTTTTCAAAATAGTTTGAGGAGGATTCGTACTAGGTCTTTAAATTGTTTGGTGTGAAGCCGTCAGCAGTGAAGACATGAGTTCCTGGGCTTTTCTTTACTGGGATACTTTTTCTGATGGCTTCAATCTCATTACTTGCTAGGGATCTGTTCTGGTCTTGGATGTTTTCATTGTTCAACCTAAGTAGGTTGTATGCATCTAGGAATTTGCCAATTTCTACTAGGCTTTCAAATTTATTGACATATAATAGCCAGTTATGATCCTTTGAATTTCTGAAGTATTAGTTGTAATGTCTCCTTTTTTTATCTGTTGATTTTATTTATTTGAATCTTGTCTCTTTTTTCTTAGCCTGGTTAAAAGTTTGTCAATTTTGTTTTGCTTTCCAGAAAACCAACTTTTCGTTTAATCTTGTGTGTTTTTTCTTTCAATTTTATTTCCGCTACGATCTTATTTATTTTCTTATTTTTGGTTTAGTTTGTTCTTACTTTACTAGTTCTTTAAGATGTATTGTTTATTTGAAGTTTTTATTTTGTTTGGATGGTAGGCACTTATAGCTGTAAATCTCTGCCTTTGTACTGCTTTCTGCGTAACAAGTTTTGGTATACTGTGTTTTCATTACCCTTTGTTTCATGAAATTTTTGAATTTCTGTCTTAGTATCTTCATTGACCCGCTAGTCATTTATTCAGGAGGGTAGTGTTTAACTTCCATGTGATTGTATTGTTTCCAAAATTACTCTTCTTACTGATACCTAGTTTTATTCCTTTGTAGTCAAAGAAGATGGCCACGGAGACAGTAGCGTGGTCAGAGTGGTAGGAGCCGGCCATTGGCGAGAGCTGCTCTGTGCCTGGCTGCTGGGTGCTAGAGCCTGTGGCCCACTGGCTTGCCTCACTGTGGTTGGTGGTGGCGGTGACAGAGACTGCAGCACGACCAGAGTGGTAGGACAGGGGCTATCCAGGGCTGTACCTTTCTCAGTGTGGGGTGGGTTGGGGGCGCTATCCAGGGTGTCATTGCCTGCATTAGGGGTACTGGTTGGTAGCACTGTACAGGGCTGCACTGCCCACAGCAGGGAGGGTGGGTTATGGGCACTTTCTGGGGCTGCAATGCCCATGGAGGAGGACAGGTTAGGGCACTATCGGGTATACGCTACTGGCGGCATTGGGGGACGGAGGTGGGGGGCGCTATTGAGGGTAGGACTAGCAGTGGAGGGCGGGCGAGTTCAGTGCTATCAGGGGCTGCACTTCTGGCGGCAGTCAGCAGAGTTGGCATCTAAGGAAGGAGTGGTTCTCCTCTCCCTGACTCCACACTCCAGAGGGCGACCCACTCTTGGTCATACTGGAGTGCGGCAGGCACGCAGCATTTGCGTGGGAATCCTGAGCACGGCAGAGCCCCCACACCCACCGTGGTTCCTGGGCCTGTGCACTCTGGGTCTGTGCCTCAGAGGCTGTCAGGCACCCCTGTGGACACCACGGGGGATGGGGCCCTGTGTGTGGAGGCGTCCGGAACAGGAATTGGCACCTGGGTGCGGAGGGTTGGTTGGGTCTGAATTTTTTTTACCTCTCCTGCTCCCCAAGGAGTGCAGCCCTGGTGGGCCCAATGGTTCCTGTGGAGTGGGGAGCTGGGTGCTGTGGTGTCTCCAGCACCCACCCCAGACCCCAGTTCCCGGCCAGCTTGGGCCAAAAGGAGGGGCTGGACTTTGGAGGGTGGGTGTGAGTGCCTTTGCTGAAACTGGCCCCTGCCACCCAGTGGCCGGCATGACAAGTTGAGGCTCTAACCCTTCCACCGCTCTCATCTTCCTCTAGGCTTTTCTGGCTTTGCCTGCCCAGCTACTCCATGCCAGGAGGAGGAGGAGACACCTAGTGCCTGCAACACCACGACTCGCCTCGCTGCGGGTGGGTGGCAGCGACGGAGACTGCAGTGTGCCAGAGCGGTAGGAGAGTGGCCGTGCTAGGAGGGCAGGTGGCTGCAGCCAGGGTTGGGGGTCAGGCTTACAGCGATGGATGGGCTGCAGCAGTGGCCAGGTGGTAGGAGCCTTGTAGGGAGGGCTGATGCATTGGCAATGGGCCTGGCTTTGCCCTGCCTTTCCCTGTAATATCCCTACTCTTACCTGGACTGTCTCAGCCCTGTCCTGCTCTGGTCCCATCCTGACCCTGTCTTGGCCCTGTGCTACCCTGTCCCTGCCCTGATCTTGCCCTGGCACTGGCCCTGCCCTGAACCTGCACTGGCCTGACCTTGGCTCTGGCTCTGGCTCTGGCCCTGCCCCTTGTCCTGACCCTAGTCATGCCATGGCACTGGCCCTGCCAGTGGTCATGGTCCTACTCCTGTTCTGGCCCTGACCTGGCCTTGGACATGTCCTGGTCCTGCTTTGGCCCATCCCTGCCCTGGCCCCACCATGGGTCTGCCTGTTCTGTTCTCTCCTGGCACTGACCTTGCCCTGTCATGGCCCAGTGGTGCCATTGCCCTGCCTTACCCTGCACTGGTTGGGCCTTGGCCCTGCTTGGTGCCGGCCACTCCCTGGACCTGCCCAGACCCTGCCTCGACTTTTGCCCTGCCCTCAGTATGGCCTGGCCCTGGCCCTAGCCCTGGTCCTGCCATATCCCTCACCCTGCACTTATCCAGGCCCTGCCCCTGCTGCTGCCCTGGCCCTGGCCTGGAACCTGGTCCTGTCAAGGACCTGCCCTGACTGTGCCATGGCCCTGGCCCTGCTCTGCCTTGTTCCTGGCCCTGACCCTTTCCTGGCTCTGCATTGGCCTTTCCCTGGCCCTGAGCTGGCAGTGGTCTGCCCCTGGTCTTGCCATCACCCTGCCCTGCTGTGCTCTGGATGTGTCATCACCCTGCCCTGGCCCTACTCTGCCTTTGACCCTGCCCTGGCCTTACCTTGGCCCTCACCCTAGTCTTCACTAGGCCCTGCTCTGGAGCTGGCCCTAGCACAGACCTGGCCCTGACCCTGGCCCTGGTCTTTGTCCTGCCATAGCCCTGGCCCTGAAGTGGACTTGGAGGTGTCCTGGCCCTGGTGTAACATGGCTCTGCATTGGCCTGTCCCTGCCCTGCCCCTACCATCGCCTTGCCCTGCTCTGCCCTGTCCCAGTACTGACCTGGCCATGCTATTTCCCTGCCCTACCCTGCCTTGGCTGTTCCCTGGCTCGGTTCTGGCCCTGGCCCCGACCCTTCCCCGGACATGCTCTGACACTGCCTCAGCCTTGGCACTAGCCTGGCTCTTTCTTGGCATCAGCCCTGATCTCTCTGTGGACCGGCTCTTGTCCTGTCCTGCACTGGCCATACCATGTCCTGCCCTGCCCTGCCCTGACTCAGCCCTGGCTCAGCCCTGTCCCAGCCTTGGCCTTGGCATTGCCCCTGGTCCTGCCATATTTCTTGCCCTGTCCCTACCCTGGCCTTGGCCCTAACTCTTACCTTGCTCTGGCCCTGCCCTTGCCCTAACACAGCCCCTGGCCCTGTCATGGCCCTGCCCTGGACCTGTCCTGGCCCTGGCCCTTCCCTGCTTGAGACCTTGCCCTGGTTCTCCCCTGGCCCTGACCCTGAAATGCCTGGCCCTACCCTGGCCTTGCACTGCTCTGGTCCTTGCCCTGACTCTGGTCCTGTCACTGGCCTAGCCCCAGCCCTGTTGCTGGTCTTACCATGGCCATGACCCTGCCTTGGCCCTGCCCTGACACTGTCCTGGACCCTGGCTGTGCCAAGATCCTGCACTGTCCTTGCCATTGTTTTTCTCGAGCCCCAAACCTGGTCCTGCCCAGGCCCTGGCCCGGGCCCTGCCCTGGCTGTTCCCTGGCCCTGTCCAGGTCTTGGAACTGGCCTGGCCCTGCCCTGCCTTGGCCCTATGCTTTCCTGGCCCTGCCTTGCCGGCCCTGGTCCTGCCTTGGCCCTAGCCTGGCTTTGACCCTGCCCTGGCCCTACCTTGGTCTTCACCCTAGCCTTTCCTGGGCACTGTGTTGGACCTGCCTATAGCACAGACCTAGTTGTGGCCCTGGCGCTGCCATGGCCCTGTCCCAGACCCTAGCCCTGCCAGGTACCTGCCCTGGCCCTGCTCTGGGCCTGGATTTGTCCCTGGTTCTTAGATGAACCTGGCCCTGCCCCTGCCCTTGTCCTTGCCCAGGCACTGGCCTTGGACATGTCCGTGGTCCTAACCCTGGCCCTGCCCTGGAGCTGCCACTGTCTTGGCCCTGCCCTGGCTCTGGCCCTTGCCCTGCCCCGGCCCCAGCCAAAGGCTGGCCCTGGTTGGTCGTGCCCTACCTTAACCCTGTGCTACCCTGGGCCTGCTCCACCCTGCCCTTGCTCTACCCTTCCTTTGGCCCTGCCCTGACCCCACCTTGGCCCTCACACTGGCCCTAGCACAGACCTGGTCCTATCTGTGGCCTTGGCCTGGCATTGACCCCTCCTCCTGACCCTGGTCCTGCCATGGCCCTGGCCCTGTCAATGACCCTGACAGCGCTGGCCCTGGCTCTGTCTAGGTCCTGGCCCTGAACTGGCCCTGCCCTGACCCTGGCCCTGAAGTGGATTTGCAGGTGTCTTGTCCCTGATTTAACCTGGCCCTACCATGGCCCTATCCTGACCCTGTCCTGGCCCTAATGTGGCCTGGCTCTACCCTGGCATGCTATTCTGGCCCTAGCCCTGATTCTGTCCCTGTCCCTGTCCTGGCCCTAGCCTGGTTGCTGGTCCTGCCATGACTCTTATCCTGACATTGCCCTTTCCTGGTCCTGGCTCTGGCCCTGTCCCAGCCCTGCTCTGGCTGTAGTCTGAACTCTGGCCCTGCAATGGACCTGCCTTGATCCTGCCCAGACCCTGGCTCTGGCCCTACCTCTGCCCTGGCCATACCTTTGCCCTGGCCTGGACCCTGGTCCTGGTCCTCGTCCTGCCCCAGCTGTGGCCCTGGCCCTGCCCTGCCTGTGCCCTGTTCTATCTTGGGCTGGCCCTGCCATGGCCTGGTCTTGCCATTGCCCTGCCCTAGCCTGCCCAGCTTGTGCCCTAGATCTGCCCTGGCCTTTGCCCCATCTTTGTTGCAGCCTTGACACAGCCCTGGACCTTCCCTGACCTTGCCTCAGCCCTGGCATTACCTTGGCCTTGCCTTGGCATTTGCCCTACTCTCTCTATGGCCTGGCTCTGATCCTGCCCTGCTCTGCTCTTGTTCTGTCCTGGCACAGCCCTGGCCCTGGCCCTGGCCCTGCCGTATCACTGGCTCTGGTCCTGCCCTTATGCAGGCCTGACCCTGCCCCTGCCTTGGCTTTGGCCTGGACCTTGGCCATACAGTGACCCTGCCATGACCCTTTCCTGGCCCTGGCCTGGAACCTTGCCCTGCCAAGGACTTGCCCTGGCTCTGTCATGGCCCTGGCCCTTTCCTGGATTTGGATGTGTCCTGTCCCTTATTTGCCCTGGCCCTTCCCTGGCTCTGCCATACCTCTTCTCTGGGGTAGGGCCAGGGTCAGGACCAGGGTAGGGCCATGGTAAGGCCTGAAGATGGGAAAGGGCAAGGGCAGTGGTAGAACCAGGAAAGGGTCAGGGCCAGGATGTGGTCGGACTAGGGGCAGAGCCTGCACTAGGGCTGAGCCAGGACAGAGCAGGAGAGATTACATAAGGCTATTACGTAAAATTTTTATTTCATATTTTTAAGATAACTATAGTAGTGGTAATAATGTCTATACTATGCTGTTTGCAATAGTAATAATATTTACAGTAAATAATCACTAAATTTTAACTAATACTATATCTGCTTCCAGTAATGTTCTATGAGTATAATTTTATCAATATGTAAATATGTGAGGCATTGATTCTCACAATAATTCTATGTGCTAGGTACTTAAAGCATCCCCATTTTCCAAATGTAGGAAACAGGCATAAAGAAGTTAAATACTTGGTCAGATTACTCCTGTAATTCCAGCACTTTGGGAGGCCAAGGCAGGCAGATGGCTTGAGCTCAGGAGTTTGGAACCAGCCTGGGCAACATTGTGAAACCCCATCTCTACTAAAAGTGCACAAAAATAGCTGATTTAAGTTTCTTGTAGGATTCTGGTTATAAAACACTGGTCAAACACACAGGACATGGATAGGGCAGGACCAGGGACAAGGTCAGGTGAGGAAGGGGCCAGGGCCAAGGCAGGGCGAGAGCTGGACTTGGAGGTTTCCTGGTCTGATTTGCCCTGCCCCTACATTGGCCCAGCCCTGCTCTGGCACTTCCTGTCACGCCCTGTCCCTGGCCTGAGAATTGGCCCTGGCCTGTCCTACTTCTGGCCCTGCCCCGGAGTTGACCAGGCACTGCCATGGCCCAGTCATTCATTACCCTGCCCTCCTCTGCCCTGGTGCTGCCATGGCCCTTCTTGGGCCCTAGCTCTGCCTCGACTCTGGACCCGCCCTGATTGTGCTCAGCCCTGAATCTACCCTGACTCTGCCTTGGTGATGCCCTCCCATCTCTGTGGCCTGGCTCTGGCCTGCCTTGCACAGGCCATGCTCTGCCCTGCATGTCCCATCCTGGGCCCAGCCCTTGCCCTACCATATTCCTGACCCCAGCCATAACCTTGTTCTTGCCTTGACCCTGCTGTGGCACTCTCCTGGTCCTTCCTTGGTCTTGCCCTGCCCTTCCATGCCCTGGCCTGGCCCTCACCCTGCACTGGTCCTGCCCTGCCCTGCCAGTGCCTTGGCCCCGGCCCTGCCTTCTCCCTGGCCTTGCCCTTTCCCTGCCCTTGCCTGACCCCAGGCCTATCAAGTCCATGAAACGACCTTGGACCTGCCTTGCCATCATCTGTCCTGGCCCTGTATTGTCCCCACCATGCTCCGGTCCAGCACTTACCCTGGCCCTGTTGCTAGTCCTGCCACTGCTATGGCCCTGCCCTGTTTTTGGCCATGCCCTGTGCTACCCTAGCATTGCCCTGCCTTGGCCTTGGCCCTACCATGGCCTTTTCTTACCCTGGCCTGGCTGTACACTGGCCTTTTCTACCCTGGCCTTGCCCTTCACTGGTCTTGCCCTGCCCTGGCCTTGGCTTTGCCTTATCCTGGTCCTGCCCTGGCCCTGCTCCTTCTCTGGATCTTCTCTGGTTCTGCCTTCTCCCTGGCCCTGCCCTTGTTCTGGCACTGTCCCTGACTCAGCCTTGACCCTGGCCCTGGCCCTGACAATCCCCAGGCCCCACACTGGCCATGCTTGGCCCTGGCCCCTCCTTTGGCCCTGCCCTGGCCCTGAACTCACCCTGGCCCTAACCTCACCCTACACTGTCCCTGCCCTACCCTGGTGTTGCCCTGCCCTGGACCTGCCTTTGGCCTTCCCTGGCTCTGGTTCTGCCCTGGCCTTGCCCTTGCCCTGAACCCTCCCTGGCAATGTTTTTACCATGGTCTTTCTCTGGCCTTGCCCTTGCCCTGTCCCCTTTCTGGTCCTGCCATGTTTCTGGCCCTTCCCTGTCCATGTCCTGGACCTGACTCTGGCCCTTGACCTCCCTGTCCCTGCCCTGCCATACCCTGGCCCGTTCCTTGCTCTACACTAACCCTGCCCTGCCTTGGCCCTGTGCTACCCTAGCCCTGCCCTGTCCTTCTGCTGGCCCTGATCCTGCCTTGGCCCTGGCCCTGCCATGTCCCTGCCCTGGCCCTGGTTCTGCCCTACTTCTGGCTCTGGCCTTGGTCCTCTCATGTCCCTGGCTGTGACTCTGCCCCTAGTTTTTCTCTGTCCATGACCCTGCCCCGGTTCTGTCCTATCCCTGGCCCTGTCTCAGTTCTGTCCTAGCTCTGGCCTTTCACAGTACTTTATGCTTAGTAAGGGCTCCATAGTGTCTGTGAGTTGAATGTTGTGTTCATAGTATCTGCCAAAACAGAAAGAAAAAAAACAAAATCTGATGATGAGAAGTTAAAGCTTTGTATATAATATGCCTTGAATTGTAAGTGCTTGTTATTAGTTGTATTACATATAGGTCATGGTTTTGTACACGTAACTCCAAACCATTGATACAGTTAAAAGAATATATGAATATATGAAAGAATGCATAAACGTAAGAATGTATGAGTATCTAATGACCTCTCCAAATTAATTTTTATTTTTAGCTCTATTAGATTTTTCTCAGTGTAACAAATGTTTATTCCTATGTAATTAAGGGCATATTTCCTGTACAGAATATTCATATTACTTAATTGAAAATTATATAATGCAAAAATATAATACTATTTTTAGGCCAGGCATGGTGGCTCATACCTGTAATCCCAACATTTTGAGAGGCCAAGTTTGAAGAATCATTTGAGTCCAGGAGTTGACCAGCCTGGGCAACATAGTGAGACCTTTTCTTTATTAAATACATAAATAAATAAATAGGTTGGGCACTGTGGCTCATATCTGTAATCCCAGCATTTTGGGTTGCCAAGGCAGGAGGATTGCTTGAACCCAGGAGTTTGAGACCAGCCTAGGCAGCATACCAAGACTCCATCTCTACAAATAATAAAATATTAACCAGGTGTGGTGGTGCACACCTGGAGTCTCAGATACCTGGGAGGATAAGGTGGGAGGTTTCCTCGAGGTTGCAGTGAACTGTGAATGCACCACTACATTCCAGCCTAGGCCACAGAACAGGACCTTGTCTATAAATAAATAAGTAAAAATATAATTAAAAACAAGTAAAAAGAAATATAAGTAAATATAAATATAAATACATATAAGTATAAAAATGAATACATGAAAACAAACAATTTTTAAATTTAACATCACTGAGGGCATCCTATCCATTTCATTTCATGATTCCATTACATCATTTCACTTAGATGAAATGATAAGATGACTTGAGATGAGATGAAATGATGAGATGAAATGATGAGATGAAATTTTGAGATGAAATGGTGAGTAGAAATGATGAGATGAAATGAGACAAAATGACAAAATTGAAAAGAAATTGAAAGGAGATGAAATGAGATGATGGATGAAATGATGAGATGAAACGAGATGAAATGATGAGAAGAAATGATGAGATGAAATGAAATGAAATAATGAAATGAAATGATATGAAATAATGAAATTGAAATGAGATGAGATGAGATGATATAATGAGATAAAATGATGAAATGAAATGAGATGAACAATAAGATGAAATGATGAAATAAGATGAGATGATAACATGAAATGATGAGATGAAATGAGATGAAAAATGATGAGAAGAAAAATGAGATGAAATGAGATGAAATAATGAAATGAGATGAAATGAAATGAAATAATGAAAGGAAATTATGAAATGTAATGATGAAATTGAAATGAGATGAGATGAAATGAGATGAAATGATGAGATGAGATGAAATGATGAGATGAAATGAGATGAAATGATGAGATGAAATGAAATGAGATGAAATGAGATGTAATGAAATGAGATGAAATGATATGACATAATGAAATGCAATAATGAAACGAGATGAAATGAAATAATGAAATGATGAAATGAAATGATGAAATAATGAAATGGCAATGATGAGATGAGAAGAAATGATGAGATGAAATGATGAGATGAGATGAAATGAGATTAAATGATGAGATTAAATGATGAGATGAGTTGTGATGAAATGAGATGAAATGATGACATGATATGATGATATGAAATCAGATGAAATAATGAGATGAAATGAGATGAAATGACGAGATGAGTTGAAATGAGATGAGATGAAATGTGATGAGATGAAATGACATAATGAAATGAAATAATGAAATGATGAAATGGAATAATGAAATGCAAATGATGAGATGAGATGCAATGAGTTGAGATGATGAGATGAAATGATGAGATGAAAAGATGAGATGAGACGAGATGTGATGAAATGATGACATGAAATGACATAAAATGAGATTAAATAAGATGTAATGATGAAATGAGATGAGAAGAAATGAGTTGAAATGATGAGATGAGATGAAATGAAATGGTGAGATAAAATTATGATATGAAATGATGATATGAATGATGAGATGAAATGATGAGATAAAATGAGATGATGAGATGAAATGATGAGATGAAATGAAATGAAATGAAATAATGAAACAATGAGATGAAGTGAAATGAAATGAAACAAATAAAATTGAAATGAGATGAGATGAAATGATAAGATGAAATGATGAAATGAAATGATGAGATGTGATGAGATGAAATGATGAGATGACATGACATGAAATAATGAAATGAAATTGAAATGAGATGAGAAGTTACGAGATGAGATGAAATGATGAGATGAAATGATGAAATGATGAGATAAGAAGAAATGAGTTGATGAGATGATGAGATGAAATGATGAGATGAAAGAGGACATGAAATGATGAGAAGAAATGAAACAAAATGATGAGATGAAATGAAATTAGATGAAATGTAATGAGATGAAATGAAATGACATAATGAAATGAAAAAATGAAATGAAATAATGGAATGAGGTGAAATTAAATGATGAAATGATGAAATGGAAATGAAATGGAAATGATGAGATGAGATGAAATGACGAGATGAATGATGAGATGAAATGAGATGAAATGATGAGATGCAATGATGCCTCAGCCTCCCGAGTAGCTGGGATTACAGGCACCTGCCACCATGCCCAGCTAATTTTTGTATTTTTAGTAATGACGTTTCACCATGTTGGCCAGGCTGGTCTCGAAATCCTGACCTCAGGTTATGCGCCCACCTTGGCCTCCCAAAGTGTTGAGATTACAGGCATGGCAGCTGCGCCCGGCCAACTTTCAGTCTCAAGTACCATTTTTTGCTGCTGTTTCTTTTTTTGAACCCCAGGAAAACATTAACTCATTTAATCCCCTATTCAAACTGCTACAATTTTATTTTCAGTGTTGTCGCCTGGTTGTAGATGCATTTGTCTCTTCAAATGCACTGTGATTTTTTCGAAGACAAAACATTTTTTGGCATTGTGAGATATATATATATATATATATACATATATTATAAATATTTATATTTTATATATCATATAAAAATTATATGTAAAAATTATATATATATATAAATGTCACTTATCCCTAATATAGGGACTCGATTAGTTTCTGCTAGTGTGGAGACAAGTCATATCATGGCTAGGGGCCATGATGGTAGGAGTACTCAGAGGATTTCTTGCATTGTGATGAGTGCATATAAGTTAAATGAGCCACTTATCAGTAGATTTGATAGCAGAATAACAGTTATATCACTGATACCTAGGCAGTACATGACACTCGGTAAAGAATAGATTAATCCTCATGCTCTTCATCTTCCTCCTAATCTCTTTACCTATGCTGCCCTCCAGCTTTCAAAGTGCTCTGAGTCATCACTTACACAGTGTTCCTTAGCTGTCCCTTCAGTGGGCCAGTGTTTCTGTGCCCAGTGTTCCTGAGAGTTAGAACACAGAAAACAGAGCAGGCTCTTGCCCACATCACAGAACATCTTTGTCTCCCTGTGGATCCCGCACATTTGTTCATTAGAGCTCAGGAATTGCCAGAGACTGGCTTTTCTGGCAATGGACACTAGATTCTTCCAAAGAATATTGGTTGAAATCTTCCTGCTGTGACAGTTCCCTGCATGCAGGGCAGGAGTGTGTGCTTCTTCCCAGCAAAGGCAGAGGCAGGGCCTACAGAAACTGTGCCCGCAGCCTATAGTGATGGGGTCTATGAGGTAATTCAGGCAGATGAGGCAGGTGAGTTCTTTCTGGAAGGCTTGTGGGAAGTCTAAGTCCATTTTTCTGAGGGAAGAAAACCAGAAGAATTTATTCTTATGCCATAGACAGACAAAGATCTACATAAAGTTTGAATCAGGTTTTGAGTAGGATCTGCTCACAGGTTTAAATCTATAGCAGGATATGACTTTATTTTGCACATAACAAAATGAAAAACTGAGGCACAGAATTCAAGCTTTGCAGAAAAATATGTTGGCTCCCTAACCAACACACACACACACACACACACACACACCTACTTTCCCAAATTCTTTCCCCCTGTATGAAAAAACCTTAAGGCTGGGCACAGTGGCTCATGCTTGTAATCCAGCATTTTGGGAGGCTGAGGCAGCAGGATTGCTTGATCCAAGGAATCCAAGACCAGCCTGGGCAACATGATGAGACCCTGTCTCTACAAAAAGAAAAGGAGGAAAAAATTAGCTGAGCATGCCAATAGTCCCAGCTACTAGGGAGGCTGAGGTGAGAGGATTGCTTGAGCCCAGGAGGTCAAGGCAGCAGTGAGCCGTAATCCAGCCACTACACTCTAGCCTGAATGACAGACCAAGACTCTCTCAAAAATGAACAAAGAAAGAAAAGAAAGAAAGAGAGGAGAGGGAGGGAAGAAAGAAGGAAGGAAGGAAGGAAGGAAGGAAGGAAGGAAGGGAGGGAGAAAAGGAAGGAAGGAAGTTTACAGAGTTTTTCTGAGGTGTTAGTGTTCCCTAAATTGTATGGTCTTCAGAGGTTTACCCTCTTATAGCTTCAATGGGTGAGTCTGGACAGGTAGGAAAATCAATCACACTCTTACTTGCCAGTGATTCATTTAGGGAAGACAGCTAACTAAGCTGTTCCAATTTGATTATTTTATTTAATTGTAACAACCATCTTATCATGACTTCTTCAAAATTACCCTGCCAGTAAGTGTTGGAGGACTCCCCAGAAGCAGAAACCACCATGCTTCCTGTATAGCTTACAGAACCATGAGCCAACTAAAGTTGTTTCTCAAGTATTTCTTTATATCTTTGGCCAAATTTAAAGAGTTAGGCTTTATTCTCCAAGATACTGAAACAGAAAAAAACAAGCCACCACTGTTTTTTAATGTTGTCTTCTTGTTAATTCAATCAACAAGTGTTTTCTGGTAAGTTTAGTGTTCCAGAGACTGTTAGCCTGGTGATGCACCAGTTAATAAAACTTCCTTAAGAGAAATAAAAGTTTAAAAATAAACCAGATGATAAAATGCAGTAGTGTACACAATGCCTCTTATCCACATGTCTTGTCTGCCACCCATGATCCAGAAAATGTCTTTAGTATAAGCCATTGATAAAGATGCCTGAAAAATTTATGTATAGAAGACATAGTCACAAAATTATTTTTTTTTCCTTTTATATCCCTTGTTAGCTCAAACAGAATTTACCACTCCAATTCGATTTCTGAATACATGGGAGTTAATAGAATACTCCTAATTCATTTACAGGATCTACACCAAGTAAAAAAATTAAAGACATCTGAAAAGTATTTTGTGAGTCCTTATAATCCATATCAAGCAATCATGGAATATATTAAGTGATAGACCAAAAATTAATCATCATATTAACCAAAAACACATAGCAAGACAAGATTACTAAATATTTTCATTTGGAAATTGGGAAATTTAGTCAATTTTAAAACTCAACAAATGAGATCATTTCACAGAAGGAACCTAGGTTTGCTGGTAAATTAAAATTATGACATTTTGTTTCAGTTTGGGAGGGTAGTTCTTCTTCTGTAAATTGTGTACTCACATGAGAAATATATCTATGTTCTCACAGACACTTGCTGTAGAGGTAATAATATGAAGTTAGCTCAGGGATCAGGGCCTCACAGTGCAGTGCTGGTAGATTTTTTTTTTTTTTTCCCTGCACCTTGAGTAAAAGTTTCCTGAGGCCTCCCCGGAAGCAGAAACCACCATGCTTCTTGTATAGCCTATGGAACCCTGAGCCAACTAAAGGTATTTATCATGTATTTCTTTATAGCAATGCAAGAATGTACTAATACAGCTAAGCAGAGGCCATCAGGACCAGCAACAGTCTGAGCTGGATGAGAGACAAAGCTAAAGTTTGAGCAGGAGCAGGAGCTGCCAGGGAGACAGAAAGGAAGGACGGACTCCTAAATTCCAGGATGTCTCCTTTAAGCCTGTAAGAAACTCAGCCACCGTCTCCTTACCTGACTCCTTTGGGAAAGAGTTTCTTTAGGTTAAGCCATACAGGGATAGGGTAGGAGATGCCATTTGCCTCTAGGAGCAGAGGGCAGAGACTCAGCAGGAAGAGTGTCTCTATGAGAAGGAGACACAGTGGAACAGGTGTGTAGGTTCACAGGGCCAGCTATGGGTAGAGTCCGGTGTACATTTTTAGAAGCCACAATTCCCAAAAATCTCCTGACTATAACATCAGTGCACAGAGCCAGTCAAATGGAGGAGGAGTGGGTCCAGGCAATTCAGGAAGAAGGAAAGTAACAAATGAGTGGTTGCAGGAGGACACTTTTTCTGTCGAGGTCACTAAACAAAACATTGTCTCCTCCCCTTAACTCCAGAAACAAGCAAAGGAGGATAAAACTGTTGCCTGAGCCCTGGGGGCAAAGGCAGTAGATAACTTCTCTGTCGTGTTCTCCAGAAGGGCCCATTCCAGCCTCACAGGCCGAGAAGTCTGTTCAGTTCCCAAGTACTAGAGATGCTGCTATAAGGGACTCCCGAATTTCCTTCCTGAACCAGAGGCTGTCCAGCCTTTTCTTCCTGTTTTATTTTTTCCTAGGAAGAAACTTGCCTGTAGAATTACAAGGTTCTACGGTTCTAATTCAGATCTAGTCTTCCACATCATTTTGAAGGTAAAATATTACTTGTCAAAGTGGGATGATAGAAGATATGTGTGGACATAAATTGTTGACAAAGAAAAAAATTAAATAAGAAAATAAGAGAGAAAAAAATGTATGTATGTACAGTGGTTAGCTAGAAATATGTCTTTTAAATATTTGGCGTGTGGTATGTGGGCCTCAATGTGTACTATTGCACTAGCTTCCCAAATATTAAAGGATGTCTTTTAAAAGAAAAACCTCTTGCTAAAAAGTTAACAGTTAAAATAACCAGAGTGGCACAGGTACCAGTCATTAAGTGAAACCTTTCATCTTCCCAGAATAGTACCTGTTCCCAAGCCAGCTTCTTTGAAAATCACTTTTCTCTCCTTTACTATTTAGTTTACAGATTGTATAGTAACAATACAGAAACCACAATAGTAGCAAAAAAAAAAGAATATTTTTAAATGAAAACTCACACCCTAACTCTACCAAAACACGAAAATTAAATCTGAATGCCTCCCATTCCTGATATATTTTTCACCTAAATATTCAGCTCTGGGATTGCATTGTTTTTGGATTGAGTGGAAATTATTGCCTGGTCTTGAAATCTTCCATAATGTGTGTGTGTGTGTGCGCGTGTGTGCGTGTGTGCATGTGTGTGTGTGTATGTATGTATGCGTGGTGAATATATTTCTTTTTCTTCAGAGCAAACATTTTTTCAATATGTATATTTATTTTAGGCAGATTATGCTAGTAATTTTCTACAAATGTGCTTTTTAAAAAATAACCTTTAATTTAAAAAAAATTATTCTTACTCAGTGGACCACAATTGTTAAAAACGCTGCTAATGGAGCTGGGTATGGTGACACACACCTGTCATCCCAGCTACTTGGGAGACTGAGACAGGGATATTGCTTAAACTTGGGAATGTGAAACCAGCCTGGGCAACATAGTGAGATCCCAATCTCAAAAATCCATCAATCATTAAAAAATAAAATACAATAAAACACTACTAATAGCTTTTTAAAAAATAGTTCTTAACCAATTTTCCTAGCACCTTCCTTTCCTCAGTGAAGTATAGAAATATGTGGTCAGGCACTGTGGCTCACACCTATAATCCCAATAATTTGGGAAGCCAAGGCATGAGGATCAGTTGATTCCAGGAGTTCAAGACTAGCCAGGGTGATATAATGAGACTTGGTCTCTTACAAATTTTTTTTTTCTTTAATTACCAGGGCATGATGTTGCACGCCTGTAGCCCAGCTACTTGGAAGGCTGAGGTAGGAGAATCACTTGAGCCCAGGAGGTCAAGGCTGCAGTGAGCCATGGTTGCACCACTGCACTCCATACCTGGGTGACAGAGTGAGACACAGTATCAAACACAAACAAACAACAACAAAAAGTATTTGTTTTAGAAAAAACATTTGGTGAGGTTTGGGCTTAAAAATATATTATTCTAAAATATTCATAAATATTCTCTAGTAATGATAAGATTAAAGTGATAAAGACAAACTTTTTTCCTGTGCAGTTCCATCTCTCACCTTCCCATAATTTGCCTGTCCCATCCAGCTTCCAAAGGAAATTACTTACAAAATAATGTCTGCATCCTGGGTCTATATATCTATTGCCTATGAGGAGAGCGTTTAAGATCTGAGCCATCTTCAAGTCTTATACTTTGTGTATAGCTCTCATGTTTTTGCAGGTTAAGTAAGTTTGTATACCCTTTCTTTTATTAATCTGTGTATGGTCAGTTCATTTCGGGTAATCTTCAGAGGGTGAAAGGGGAAGCTTTTCACTTCACTCCTATTGTGACAACTAACTACATTCTTACTTATTCAATTTTTTAGTCTATATCAACACTTTTATATACATTTACTTTTAAACAAAATTTTGCATCATTACACTTAAAATTTTATTTACATTTTAAAAAGGAAATTAAAAATAAAATTAAAAATTATAAAATTTTACATAATAAAAATAAAATAAATGATTTATATAAAAATTAATCTGACCTGTGAAAAACACTCTCCAGAGGCCAGGCGCACTGGCTAACGCTTGTAATCCCAGCACCTTAGGAGGCCGAGGTGGGTGGATCACGAAGTCAGGCGATCTAGACCACGATGAAACACCTCTCTACCAAAAATACAAAAAATTAGCTGGGTGTAGTGGCGGGCGCCTGTAGTCCCAGCCACTCAGAGAGGCTGAGGCAGGAGAATGACGTGAACCCAGGAGGCGGAGCTTGCAGTGATCCGAGATCGTGCCACTGCAATCCAGCCTGGGTGACAGAGCCAGACTCTGTCAAAAAAAAAAAAAAAAAAAAAAAAAGAAAAAAGAAAAACACTATTGAGAGAATAAAAAGACAAATCACAGACTGGGAGTAAAAATTTACAAAAGCTATATCTGGTGAAGATACATTTGTTATCCAAAATATACAAAGAACTCTCAGGACTCAATAATAGGAAAATAAATAGTCTAACACAAATATAGAGATCTGAACAGACATTTCATCATAGAATACAGATGGATAATACGTAAGCACATTGAAAGATGTTCAACATCATTCATCATTAGGGAGATGTAAATTAAAACCACAATGAGATACTGCTACATGCCTATTTGAATAGCTAAAATTTAAAAGACTTGACCATACTAAACATTGGTGAGAACACAAAGGAACAGGAATGCTCATACACTGCTACTGGAAATACAGCCACTTTGTCAGTTTCTTTAAAAGTTAAACTGGCGAGGAGCGGTGGCTCACGCCTGTAATCCCAACACTTTGGGAGGCCAAGGCGGGCGGATCACGCAGTCGGGAAATCGAGACCATCCTAGCTAACACGGTGAAACGCCGTATCTACTAAAAATACAAAAAATTAGCCGGGCGTGGTGGCGAGCGCCTGTAATCCCAGCTATTCCGGAGGCTGAGGCAGGAGAATGGTGTGAACCCGGGAGGCAGAGCTTGCAGTGAGCCGCGATGCACGACTGCACTCCAGCCTGGGCGACAGAGCGAGACTCCATCTCAAAAAAAAAAAAAAAAAAGAAAAGAAAAGTTAAACATATCACACCACCTAGTCATTGAAATCCGGCTTATTTGCCTAAGACAAATGAAAGCATATGTCCAAACGATTGGACAAACATTCGTAGCAACTTTATTTGAAATAGCAAAAACAACTGGAAGCAAACCAAATGTCCATCAAGAGGTGAATAGATACACTAACTGTAGAATATCCATACAATAAAACTATTTTTTTTTTAAACTACGGGGCAAAAAAACAAAAAAAACCCAAAGATAGAATCTAACTTCTTAGTAAATACATTCACTATTAGGGTTTTTATAACAGATAATTCATTCTTTATTAACACTCTTTTGACTATGAAAATATTTTGACATCAAAAATCTGCAAAATATGAAGAAACAAAGGACACACAGCTTTTTTTATTTTTTATTTTTATTTTATTTTTATTTTTTTGAGAAGGAGTCTCTTTCTGTCACCCAGGCTGGAGTGCAGTGGCGTGATCTTAGCTCACTGCAAGGTGCGCCTCCCGGTTCACGCCATTCTCCTGACTCAGTCTCCCGAATAGCTGGGACTACAGGCGCCCGCCACCAAGCCCGGCTAATTTTTTGTATTTTTAGTAGAGACAGGGTTTCTCCGTTAGCCAGCAAGGTCTCAATCTCCTGACCTCGTGATCTGCCCGCCTTGTCCTCTCAAAGTGCTGGGATTACAGGCGTGAGTCACCGCCCCTGGCCCCAGGACACACAGCTTTAAAATTTCTCCTTTGTCGGCCGGGCGCGGTGGCTCACGCCTGTAATCCCAGCACTTTGGGAGGCCGAGGCGGGTGGATCTTGAGGTCAGGAGATCGAGACCATCCTGGCTAACAAGGTGAAACCCCGTCTCTACTAAAAATACAAAAAATTAGCCGGGCGCGGTGGCAGGCGCCTGTAGTCCCAGCTACTCGGGAGGCTGAGGCAGGAGAATGGCGTGAACCCGGGAAGCGGAGCTTGCAGTGAGCCGAGATTGCGCCACTGCAGTCCGCAGTCTGGCCTGGGCGACACAGCGAGACTCCGTCTCAAAAAAAAAAAAAAAAAAAAAAAAAAATTTCTCCTTTGTCTCACCCAGTGCCAACCACCTAAAACCTCTCATTTTCCCCCAGACATTTCTTCTGCCTCCAGGATGGAGGTAGAGAATCTTGGCCTTGGGCCACGCTCTGGGGACCATGCTGGGCTGTCGTGGTCAGTGAGGGACTCAGGTTCTCACCAGGATCCCCAACATAGGCCCCTGAAAAAAATGTTACCATCAGGGTGCGCTCCCTGACTCTTGTGTCTACTGGAAGGAGGAAATCAAGCCAGGAACATTGTCAGGATAGAGATGAAAATGGGGCTCACTTTTCTGTCTCTTGTGATGTCAGACAAGCCTTTCAGCTCTGTCTCCTCAGCCCTCATGGAATTGTTTGGTGTGGACGCACCGAGATTCTGAACTGGGTCCCCTTTCCCTCTGCCCTTCTCTGGGGCCAGATTCTGAGCTCTCCATTCCAATTTTTCCCCCAATTTGCCCTTGCACTTATTTATCTGGATTACTGTCTGCCTGTCCCAAAGAATAAAAGCTTTATCACAGTGGGGACTTTGTTTAAAAAAAATAATAACGGCTATATTTTTAGGATCCATGACACTCTCCAGCATATCGGTGGTATCTGATAAAAAATGTTTGTTGACTGAATGAACAAATATATTATTCACAATTCACATTATCCTGAACTGGCTAGAAAATTAAATATCTGATATCAGTATTGGCAACATTATGAAGTAAATATAATTCTGATACAGTGCTCGTGAAAGTCTAATATGAAATGCTCATTTTAGAAAACATTTTCTTGTAGATTTGCAAATGTTTCATCTCCATGAACTAGTTGTATATATGCAAGTTGTGTATCTTTGGGTTAGGCAGAATAATTGTCCCCCACCAAAGACAGCCATATCCTAGTCTTCAGATAAGGTGAACATGCTAACGTAAGTTAGCATGTTCAAAGGGACTTGACAGATGTGATTATCATTAAGGGCATTGAAACAGGGAAATTACCTTGAATTACCTTGGTGAACCAATCTAATCTCATAATTACTTGAGAGCAGAGAATATTTTCTGGATGCTGAGATTCAGACAGACGGCAGTATGAGAAAGATGTGGCCTGCTATTACTGGCTTTTACAACAGTGGTAGGGGGCCACAAGCCAAGGAAAGCCAGTGAACTTTAGAAGCTGGGAATGACCCAAAGTTTACAACTAGGAAGAAACTGAGGATCCACAACCACAAGGAACTGAATTCTGCCAACAACCCAGATGCTCTTTTAGAGCCTTCAGAAAGAAATGCAGCCTGCCAACATCTTCATATTAGTTCAGTGAGAGCCATGCCAGATTTCCAACCAAAACAATTCTAAGACAATAAGTTTGTGTGTGTTTTTTAAAACTGACTCAAATCTTACAAAAAAGTGTTCTTTTAAGCCACTGAATTTGTGGTAAATTGTTACAGCAGGAATAGAAAACTGATACAACCCTAGAGAAAGTCTTGTACATGTGCCCTATAAACACACAGCAGAATTTTTTTAACCTTTTATTGAGTTAAAAAATACATATATAATTTACCATCTATACATTTTTAGAGGACAGTTTAGTGGTGATAAATACATTTATATTTTCTTCTCTTAATCTCCTCTTCCCACTCCCCTTGCTGGCCTCTAGCAACCAACGATTTACTTTCTATCTTCATGAGATCCACTTTTTTACTGCCCACATATGAGTGACAACATGTGGTATTTGTCTTTCTGTGCTTGGCTCATTCCACTTAACATAATGGCCTATGTTCATTACGTTAAGCCAAATGGCCAGCACCACCTATATTCCTGTGAATGACAGAATTTCATTCTTCTTTGTATCTGAGCAGTATTCCATTATGTACATATATGACTTTTAAAATCTATTCATTTGTTGATGAGCACTTACGTTGATTCAATATTTTGTCTATTGTGAATAGTGCTGCAGTACACATCGGCATGTAGATATGTCTTTGATACATTAATTTCCTTTATTTTGGATATATATCCAGTAAGGAAATTGCTGGACCACATGGTAGTTCTATTTTTACTTTTTTGAAAGCCTCCATACTGTTCTCCATAGTGGCTTTATTAATGTAGATTCCCACCAACAGTGTACTAGTATTTCCCTTTCTCCACATCCTTGCCAACATCTGTTATTGCCTGTCTTTTTGAAACAAGTCATTTCAACCAAGGTGAGATGATATTGCATTGTGATTTTGATTTGCATTTCTTTGACGATTAGTGATATTGAACATTTTTTCATCTTCCTATTGGCCATTTGTATGTCTTCGTTTGAGAAAATACCTGTTCAGATCGTTTGCCCATTTTTAAATTGTATTTATTTATATATTTTTAACTATTTTTTTTAGAAGCAAGGACTTTCTTTGTCACCCAAGCTAAAGGGTAGTAGCCTAATCATAGCTCACTGTAACCTCAAACTCCTGGGACTAAGAAATCATCCCGACCGGGCGCGGTGGCTCACGCCTGTATTCCCAGCACTTTGGGAGGCTGAGGCGGGCGGATCACGAGGTCAGGAGATCGAGACCATCCTGGCTAACACGGTGAAACCCCGTCTCTACTAAAAATACAAAAAATTAGCCGGGCTTGGTGCCGGGCGCCTGTAGTCCCAGCTACTCAGGAGGCTGAGGCAGGAGAATGACGTGAACCCCGGGGGAGCAGAGCCTGCAGTGAGCCGAGATCGCTCCACTGCACTCCAACCTGGGTGACAGCGAGACTCCATCTCAAAAAAAAAAAAAAAAGAAAAGAAATCCTCCTACCTCAGCCTCTTCAGTAGCCCATTTTTCAATCAGATTTTTTGTTTGTTTATTACTGAGTTGTTTGAGTTCCTTATATATTCTACTTATTAATCCTTTATCAGATAGATAGTTTGAAAATATTTTGTCCCATTCTGTGGTCGGCTCTTCACTTTGTTGATTGTTTCCTTTGCTTGAGGCTTTTTAGTTTGATATAATCCCATTGTCTATTTTTGCTTTTGTTGCCTGTGCTTCCGAGTTCTTACGCCAAAAAATCTTTGCCCAGACTAATGTCCTGGATCATTTCTCCTATGCTTTCTTTTTTTCTTTCTTTTTTTTCTTTTCACGCCATTCTCCTGCCTCAGCCTCCCGAGTAGCCAGGACTACAGGTGCCCACCATCATGCCCCGCTAACCTTTTTTTTTTTTTTTTTTTTTTTGTATTTTTAGTAGAGACGGAGTTTCACCGTGTTAGCCAGGGTGGTCTTGATCTTCTGACCTTGTGATCCGGCCACCTTGGCCTCCCAAAGTGCTGAGATTACAGACGAGAGCCACCGCGCCCGGCCTTTCCTATGTTTTTTTTTTTTTTTTTTTACTAGCTTCATAGTTTCAGGTCTCAGATTCAAGTCTTTAATCCATTTTTATTTGATTTGATTTTTGTGTATGGTAAGATGGGTTTAATTTTATCCTTCTGCATATGGTTATTCAGTTTTCCCAGGATCATTTATTGAAAAGACTGTTGTTTTCCCAGTGTATGTTCTTGATGCCTTTGTCAGAGGTGAGTTGTTTGTAAATGTGTAGATTTGTCTGCAATCTCTATTCTGTTCCACTGTCCTATGTGTCTGTTTTTATGCCAGAAGAAATATATTGGCAATAATTAGTACAGAAAAGCTGAAACAATGAAATGACAAAAGTGAATTGTACTGATATAATTCATTATGCCCACTAAATGCAGTAGCATACAGCCAGGAAAACAATGTAGTGCACACGGTATTAAAATACAACACAATTCAATATACACAGTGCTCACAGTGGCCTTCGTTAGAGTGTTGAAAAAGGGGATGTAGTCAGCAAAAGTTGTACAGGTGACTTCAAAAGTAATCATAAGCACTTATGATTACTTTTGGCTTAATTTCTTAAATCAAGACTGGAGACACAGGTGTTCATTATGTGCTTATTATATATATAAAATAAATATTTTATAAATCTGTTGTTTCTATTCAGTATTTAATAAAGTAAATCAATAGAAAAGGTTAAAAAGCAATGCACACATATTCCAAATATTTTTTGCTCTAAATTATATAAACATTGCATAGTTATTGCCCTGGGCCTGGCAAGGTGACCCACACCTCTCATCCTAGCACTATAGGAGACTGAGGCAGGAGGATAGCTTCAGCCCCAGAGGTCAAGGCTGCAGTGAGCCTTAATTCCACTACTGCACTCCAGCCTAGGTGACAGAGAAAGATGCTGTCTGATGATAAAAATAAAAATAAGTTAATATATAAATATATGTTTATATATTAACTGATTTTATTAACTATATATATATACATATATATATACACACACATATATATATATATAGTTGTTGTCTTGGTCTATAGGCAATCTTACAGTGCTTAAGACTTTGATATTGAGAACAGATCTCCTAGGTATATGCTGTGTTTCTGGGGTGACATGATGCTCTCATCTGGCCTCTGTGAGCCTAATTCTATCTTACATTTACCCCACTCTTCAACAACTTGGGGAGGTGTCCCTAAACATTCCTAGGTGAACCCAAACCTGTGGCCCTCAACACATTTCTAGGTAAAGCAAGCTCCTGACATATCTGTGGATATCCTCTCATTGGAAGAAGGGGGAAGAGATCATCTCAAAATAATTCATTTAATATAGCTTTTCAACATTAATTTTATTTTGATAAAGAGACACACAGTAAATAAAATTTCTAAAAAACTATAAACTTTCAAACATTCTCACGCTAAATCTACCTCTGCTCACATGCCAGGGAAATATAAAGGTAATCTGTTTCTCAACCTGACCAGGATGCTACAGTAATTAAAAATAAACTCAATTCCTGGATCCCTACCAAAGGGACATTTCATATGGATCAAAGTTCTGGAAAAATTATTTGTCTGGAAATAGACTAATTCTCCAAAATATAATTGAAATAACGGCTTCTGGAAAGGGCCAAATACGACTCTTAATGATATAACAGCTAAATATAGGTCTGATGCTCATTCCGTGTGGAGAACAATAGCAGCCATTCCCACAAACGGCAGATTTGGGGGAAGTAAACACTACTTTTGCAGAATCTTACATGATTTCAGTAGAAGGGCAAGGACATTTCAGTTGGGAACAGATTGCTCCATGGTAATGTGATCACTATGTACCCAACAATGGCTCTTTCTTCCTAGTGTCATTGCAGATGATATTTTCACTTTAACTATTACCATTGCTGTTTCTAATCACATAAAAGTGTATCCTTTATATATCTGAAGTAAATTCATACTAGTGATGTAACATCTCCAGCCATTTAAGTGTAAAAACAGAAAACGTATGATGTGTTTGCTTACTGTTTTATACTCTTAACGCATGAAGAGAAGATCCTTTTATTCATTGCCTATACTTTTATTTCTAAACTTTCCATAACACTTTATCTTATATCCAGCATAGAATTGAGATTTGCTTTTTCATTTAATCTAACAATATTTTTTCCTCTACTAAGAGTCAAGCCCACTTACTTTTAATGATAAATTGTGTTTGGTTATATTTTGATTACAATATATTATGCTATGATTTATATGCACATATTTGTCTTTTGCTGTCTTGTTTGTTTTTATTGTTTATGTTTTGATGGTTGTGATACTTGGAAGAGTTAAACTTTTATTCTGATGGCTACCTTATGTAATTTCATAAAATCATCTCTTTCTTTAGACGGTAGCTAATGTCTCTAAACTAAGAACAATAGTATTAGCTGTATTCTCTTTCTTGTCCTCCCTATGTGATTTTTCATCCCACATTTTGATTTAATCATATTAACTTTGATTCCCCTGGTACCATTAAGTATGCTTACATTTCTATAAACAATATCTTTTGACTCCCAGGCATTACAGATGAGCAGTCAGTAAAATCATTCTGTGGAATACTTTCTCTTTCCTTTTCTTCCATTTTTCTTAGTTGTATCATTTCTATATTGCCAGAGCACCTACAGTTGCATTTCTTTCTGTCAGCTTTATCCAGCATTTGTTTTTGACTTTTATTTGAAGTTAAATATATTCCTTGCTCACTACAACACTGGGGGAAAGAAGGTTTCTGTTGTCATTGTTGTGTTTGTACAGTTGTTTATTTAAAGACGTTGGGGAAAACAAAAACTGTATGTAGATGGAATGGAGATAAGACAGAAAATGAGAGAGACTGATGATGAGTGTGCCTATTCTAGACTGGGAGGCATGCTACACTGAGTAGTGTCTCAAGGCCGCAGGAAAGGATGGTTGATAGTGAGCAGGTGGACTTTCCACTGGAGGAGAGAAGTCCTGCTCTCAACAACCTGTGCAGAACCAGAAACTGGTAATGCTTCAAATCAACTTACAGACCTGGAGGTAGAAATTTAAGAAAACTCGTTTAGCACCTAGTTTCGTAGAAAATATTAGCTACTATTTGCTGAGCATCTGTCAGTCTGTCTGTAGCATGGAAGATCTGAGTGCAGGGGAAACTGGATTAGTAACAGTGGGTCAGAAAATTATATAATATTCAACCAAAATTCCTGCTTTACATACACAGCACCTGATATTTCCAGAACTAGAAGGTAAAGAAATTATTTGTTCTTGAACTTGCAGACAACTGCCTTTTCCCTTCTTCTCTTGCATATTAACCTGGAGCTTCCCTTTTCTTGAGCCTCAGTGTGCTTCTCAACTCAACTTATAATTGACTTCCTGCAGCTTCTCCTTAGGACAGGGCTTTGTTTTGGGAGTGGTTAATTTGTAGGATTCATAGGAAACAGACCACTCACAGCACCTGTTTTATGCCATCCTCACTCTCAGCTATGAGTTGAGGCCCAGGAAGCCTTCTGCCAGCCTCAACTGCTGCTCTCAGATTATCTGCTGAGTTCTTTTTGCCTAGTAAGAATCTCTGAATTTAGGAACATTGATGTTAGCGCTTGTGTTTCTAGGTTTTCCAGTTCCCAGGGCCATTAAACATTTTTTTTCCTTTCCTTTCCTTTTTCCAAAAAAATTGGTGATTCCCCTGGGTCTCTGTGGTTTAACCTTAGTCAGTTTTTGTGAGAGATTCAGGGATATTAATAAAGCCGTGCTGCTACTGCTACTAACATCTTGAATAAAAGCCCTATTAATTAAAATGTTTATTGTGCCTGTGATTTGAACTTGTAATTTTATTCAAAGTTTTTCAACAGAGATCCAGAAAAGACCCTCCTTATATGTTTAGTTTTGTGCATTGCAACACTTTTTAGTGAAAAAAAATGAGAACAACACAAGTGATTTTAAAAGAATAAACCTACAATCCATCAATTATAAAATGAAATACTATGCAGGTGTTAAGAATGAGGGAATCAATAAGAACTTGTGTGGGGTAATATAAACTTCTAAAAAATAAATTTAATGTTCATGTGACCATATTATCGTTAAAAAAGTACAAACATACTTGCACACAACTTCAAGAAAAATGGGTACACGCATTTAAAAATATTTAAATTAAGTAAATGGCCCAATAATTTAACTTTGTACAATTCTGTGTTCTCTGATTATTTTATATGCTAGAAACAGGTATTACTGTTTTGTTTATTTCATTTGAAATAATTGTAGTCACATGAGGTTTAAGTTATAATACAGAGAGGTCACATATGCCTATTTTCTAATTGGATACCTTATTTATTACAATTGAGTTTTGAGAATTTTTTACATATGCTAGATGTAAGTTCTTTGTCAGATATATGGTATACAAATTATTTCTCCCAGTCTGTAATTCATTTTTTCAACCTCTTTACAGGGTCTTTCTAAGTAAAAAAAAAAAAAAAAAAAAAAAAAAAAGGGTTTATTTATTTTAATGAAGTCCAGTTTTATCACTTTTTCCTTTTGTAGATTTTGTTTTTGATATCAAGCCTAAAAATTATTTGCCTAGCCCAAGGTCTCAAGAGTTTTCTTATATTTTAAAAAGTTTAATGAATTTATTTATTTATTAATTATTTTTGAGACGAGGTTTCGCCCAAGCTGTAGTGCAGTGGTGCCATCATTACTCACTGCAGCCACTAACTGCTGGATTGAAGTGATCCTTCCACCTCAGCCACTTGAGTAGTAGCTGGGATTACAGGCACGAGCTACCATACACAACTTTAAGTTTTATCATATTACATTTTACATTTAAGCCTGTGATTTATGTGAGCTAAATTTTATATAAAGTATAAATTTAGATCAGTCTTAGTTTTTGTACCTGTGAATGTCCAATTGCTCTAGCACCATTTGTTGAAAAAGATATCCTTCCTTTAAACTGATTTTGCATCCTTGTTAAAAAAAAAAACTCAGTTGAATATAGTGTGGTCTGTCAGCTTTTAATAAGATAAAAACATTGGCACTCACCAGATATCGAAGTTTAGAAATTTTTTTAAAGCTAAACTTCTGAAAATTGAATAAAAACACCTTCACATGTCAAATTAGTCAATTTGTATAGGACTAATTCATTTAAATATATTAAAATACAAAATAATTCAAACCACTAAAGTGATAATACAAGACTATAAATTTAAAGGCTAATTATTAAATCAAATTGCTGTATTCTACGTGTTAGAGTGAGCTCAAAAGATCCATTGTATTACTGAATAGGCGAAAGTTTTAATTTCAGAGGATGAAACTGATATATTACTGCCACCTG
The DNA here is from genome assembly GCF_000001405.40 of Homo sapiens. Classification (NCBI taxonomy): domain Eukaryota; kingdom Metazoa; phylum Chordata; class Mammalia; order Primates; family Hominidae; genus Homo; species Homo sapiens. The sequence continues at coordinate 11,461,618 of NC_000024.10, forward strand.
GTGGATATTCTGTTATTACAGGCTGTTATAAAAATCAATGAGAGTATGTAATCTGTTCTAACAAGAAGCATTTCCTTTTTTGTCGTTTTTATTATTGTTATTATTACATTTTAAATTCTGAGATACATGTATAGAACGTGGAGATTTGTTACATAGGTATACACATGCCATGGTGGTTTACTGCACCCATCAACCCATCATCTAAGTTAGGTATTTCTCCTAATGCTATCACTCCCCCAGCCTCCCACTCCGCTGACAGGCCCCGGTATGTGATGTTCCCCTCCCTGTGTCCATGTGTTCTCATTGTTCAACTCAAAAGAAAAACAGAAGCATTTTCTGTTTTACCAATTTCTTAAATACAATGCAACTTTATGTTTAATTTAACTAACTTAATTTTTTGAGACAAGGTCTAGCTCTGCTGCCCAGGCTGGAGTGGAGTGGCGTGAATATGGTTCAGTGAAACCTCCACCTCCCTGGCTCAAGTGATCCTCCTTCCTCAGTCTCTCGAGTAGCTAGGACCACAGGCACGCCACCACCATGGCCAGCTAATTTCTTTTTGATTTTTTTAGAGATGAGGTCTCACTTTGTTGTCCACGCTGGTCTCAAACTCCTGGGCTCAAAGGATCCTCTTGCCATGGCCTCCAACAGTGCTGGGATTTATAGGTGTGTGCCATGGCACCAGGCCTAAGCAACTGTAGAGAAGCCTTTTTTTCTTTCATAAAAGCAGTTGTAGATATTTTCCTTATGGAATTTATTTGTGGTGAAATATTTTAATAGACAGTTTAATTTGTTAAATAACTTGTCTCAGATAATAATAATTTATTAATATTAAAACTACAAAATAAGTCGGGTCTTCTTTTTCTATGAAAACTGAAAGTTGATTCTGACATTTATGTAAACATTTTAAATATTCAAAGTATATAAATGTGAAGTCCTATCAAGAGTAATTAGACAAGAGAAAGAAATAAAGAGCATTCAAATCGGAAAGGAGGACATCAAATTGTTCATATTTGCAGATGACATGATCTTATATATAGGAAAACCTGAAGACTCTACCAGAAAACTTTTAGAACAAACAAATTCAGTGACGTTGCAAGACACAAAACTAATACACAAAGATTGGTTGCATTTATATGTATGAACAACAAACTCGCTGAAAAAGAAATTAAGAAGGCAAACCCATTTACAATAGTTACCAAAAGAAAACCCAGACATAAATGTAACCAAGGAGGTAAAATGAAAACTACAAAACACTAATGAAAGAAATTGAAGAGGATACAAACAAATGAAAAGACATTCACACTCATGGATCAGAAATATGAATGTTGTTAAAGTGACAGTACTACTCAAAAGCAACCTGCAGATTCAATGCAATCTCTATCAAAATACCTATGAACATTCTTCACAAAATTAAAAAAAAAATCCAAAGAGATTTTATGGAATCAAAAAATATCCTGAAGAGCCAAAGCCACCCTAAGCAAAAAAAAACAAAGCTGGATGTATCATGCTACCAGACCTCAGAATATACTACAAAACTGTAGTAACCAAAACATCATGGTATTGGCATAAAAACAGACACATAGACCTATGGAATAGAATAAAGAACCCAGAAAATCCACATATCTCAGCCAACGGATTTTTTACAAAGATGCCAAAACACTCATTGGGGAAAGGATAGTCTCTTCAATAAATGGTGCTGGGAAAACTGGATATCCATATGCAGAAGAATGAAACTAAACCTCTGCCTCTCACCCTATACAAAAGTCAACTCAAAGTATCTCAAATACCCAAATATAAGACCCAAAATGGTAAAGCTACTAGAAGAAAACATAGGGGAGATCCTTCAGGACATTGCTCTGGGAAAATATTTTATGAATAAGGCATCAAAAGCACAGACAACAAAAGAAAAAATAAACAAATGAGATCACATCAAGGTAAAAATCTTCTGCACAGCAAAGGAAATAATAAAGTGAGTGAAAAGACAACCTACAGAATGGGAGAAAATATAAACTCATCTGGCAGGAAATTAATAACAAGAATATACAAGGAATTCAAACATATCAACAGCAAAGAAGCACAACAATCTAATTAAATATAAACAAATGCTCTGAACAGACATTTCTCAAAAGAAGACATACAAATGACCAACAAATATATGAAAAAAATGTTCAACACCACTAATCAGCAAGGAAATGTTAATCAAAGCCACAGTGAGGCATCATCTTACTCCACTTAGGATGGCTATTACAGAAGAGACAAAAATAACAAATGCTGACAAAGACGTGAAGAAAAGGGACTTTTTTTTGACAGAATCTCACTCTCCGTCCAGGCTAGAGTGCAGTGGTGGTGTAATCTGGCTCCCTCTGCCTCTAGGGTTCAAATAGTTCTCCTCCCTCAGCCTCCTGAGTAGCTGGAGAAAAAGGAACTCTTACGTACTGTTGGTAGGAATGTAAATTAGTGCAGCCAGTATGGAGAACAATATTGAAACACCTCAAGAAATCCCACTACTGGGAATTTATCCAAAGGAAAGAAAAGCATTATATTGCAGAGACATCTGCATCCCCATGTTTATTGCAACAGTGTTCACAATAGCCAAGATATGGAATCAACCTAGGTTTCCAACAACAGATGAATGGATTTTTTAACTATGGTATATATATATCAAGAAATGCTATTTAGCCATAAAAAAGAATAAATAAAATCCTGTCATTCTCAGCAACATGGATGGAACTGGAGGATATTATGTTAAGCAAAATAAGCCAGGAATAGAAATTTCAACACCACATGTTCTCACTCACGCAGAAGCTAAAAAAAAGTTGATCTCATAGAAGTAAAAAGTAGAACAGACGATACTGCAGGCTGAAAAGGGTAGGGAGAAAGGAGGAATAGTAAGAGATTTGTTAATGGATACAAAATTACAGCTAGGTAGGAGTAATAAGTTCTAGTGTTCTATAGTACTGTAGATGACTATAGTTAACATACTATATTATGTAGTTTAAAATACCTAGGAGTAGTTTAAATGTTCCCAACACAAAGAAATAATAAATGTTTGAGATGATAGATATGCTAATTACCCTGATCTGATCACCATCTACATGTACTGAAACATCCCCGTATAGCCATGAATATGTATAATCTTTGTCAATTTAAAAAGTAAAAAAAAAAAAAATAATCTTGGAGAATTCATTTGAAGGACTTATACTCAAGAAATCAACTTAAGTACCTGAGTCTCCTTGGGATTTGTGTTTTCTAGACCAGTACTTCTCCAAATTAAAGCAAATTTAGGCTGGGCATTGTGGCCCATGTCTATAATCTCAGCACTTTGGAATGCCGAGGCGGGCAGATCACTTGAGGTCAGGAGTTCGAGACCAGCTGACCCAACATTGTGAAACCCTTTCTCTACTAAAAATACAAAAATTAGCCGGGGATGATGGCATGTGCCTGTAATCCCAGTTACTTTGGAGGCCGAGGCAAGATAATCGCTTGAACTGGAGAGGTGGATGTTGCAGTGAGCCGAGATTGCACCACTGCGCTCCAGCCTGGGCAACAGAGCAAGACTCTGTCTCAAAAAAAATAAAAAGCGAATTTAGTTCACTTTGGTATTGTGTCAAAATGTTGATTCTTTTAAAGTAAATCTAAAGAATTGAGATGTAGTTGAAGCTTGTCATCTGTTCTTAATTTTTTTTAATAAAAATATAATATTTAGACTCAGAATAAATCTAAAGTGAGACCTGAAGCTGCTCCCAGGTGATACTGATGCTGCTTATTTTTCCCCAGATTTTGAGTCACAAGGTTCTAAATTATTGGTTTGAAGTCCTACATGAGTAATCACTTGGGAAGCTCAATGAACACCCAGCAATAGACTATTAATAAACCAGAATCTTCAGTATTAGGCTTCAATCATTGGCAATTTTTTTTTTTGACACACAGTCTCCCACTGTCTCCCAGGCTGAAGTCCTGAGGCCAGAATGAGACTAGGACATGGTTCCTTTGCCTAAGTAAAGTGAGGCAGACAATGGAATACTTCAGACTTCAAATTAGTATGGTAAGTGCTATGAAAAGTATGATTAAAGTTCATTATTTACCCAGAAAAGTGTCACTCAGCGCAGCCTGGGAGTTAGAGAAGGTTTCCTGAAGTCTTGACATGTGAGTCATGAAAGGACATAAGGAGTTAACCCCGTGAGAAAATAAGCTAAGAGAATTCTCAACAAAAGACAAAATATTGGCAAAGTCTTTTAGGCATATACTAGCTTAGTATTATTGGGAGAATGTAATGATTTTCTCTATTTCAAAAGTGTAAAATACAAAGTGGGCCATGATATGAGATAAACCAGTAAATATGTTCTGGGAACAGATCATAGAAGGGAGTGTATGTTGTCCTAAGGAGCTTAAACTTCAGCTTCAGTTCATGGGACCCAGTGACAAGATCTGAGCAGGGGAAGGATGTGGCTAGAGGGGCATTTTAGACAGACAAGATCCTCTGTGGATTACACCTAGGCTAAGCAACTGGTTAAAGTTGTTATCTTAAGACAATAGTCCAGGTAAAAATAATAAAGTTTTAAATTAGGATGTTAGTAAGAATGAGGAAGAGGGATGGATTTCAGAAATAGTAAGGAAATGTATTAGCAGGACTTGATTAGTGATTGACTTGGGGAAGGAGGGAAAGATAGAGTTCAGGATGACTCCGAGACTGTCTGGTGTAAGTGGCTAATGACTGAAGCTATTAATAGAGGTAGGAAATGCAGACCAAAAGCAGGCCCGGGGTGAGAGATGATAAATTTGCATTTTGACATGTTGAGTTTTCACATCCAGGATGAAATAACCACAAGACATTTAAATATAAGAATCTGAAAAGGTAAGCATCATAAGCATATTAGCTATTGGTAAAATGCTGATACTTAATGAAGTCTCGCAGGGAGGCAGTACAGAGGCAAGCAATGGGCTGGGGATAAAACATAGGGAAATATTATTTAAATAAAGATGAAAGAAAAGGAGCCCACAAAGGAAGATGAAAAGGCATAGTCAAAAAAGAGGCTTGCCAAAGTGCCACCTTTGAAGCTCTGCTGTTACACTTTATAAGGAAACTTTTGGTTACCTGGGATTGCATGCATTTATAAAAGTTTCTATTATTAGGAAGACAATAATAATGATAAGGCTCTTTCTCATTTTTGTCAGTGTAATTTATCTATTTAATTGTAGAACCGAGTTCCAGGATGCTTAATCTGAAGTATACACTTGGGGCAAAATGAATTATATCTTAATAATAATCTGGAATTTTTCTCTCTAACTTGACATATTTTAATTCTTGCTAGATTTTCAAAACGTCATACCTCGAACCACCACCAGATGGCTATGAGAATGTTACAAACATTGTGCCACCATATAATGCTTTCTCAGCCCGAGGCATGCCAGAGGTAAAATAAAATACATTTGTAACCCAAGTCTTTAAATGGTTCTTTTGCTATATAAAACCTGTATAGAGGACTAAAACCAAGAAAATAAGGTGAATCATTCATGCGGATTCATTGTTTGATATTCAGTACTATGACAACCTCATCCCTCAAATTTAAAAAAGTATAATAAAATAGAAAAGAACACGAGAGAGACAAAAAAGAAACAAAACAAATACATTAAAAACTGACCCTGCTGAAGCAGATGCCACTCTTTGAAATAACAAAGAAGCTACTGAACACGCCTTTAATTCAGTGGGGCAGTAGGTGTTTTTTTGTTTGTTTGTTTTTGTTTCGTTTTGTTTTTTTTTTTGAGACGGAGTTTCGCTCTTGTCACCCAGGCTGGAGTGTAGTGGCACAATCTGGGCTCACTGCAACCTCCGCCTCCCAGGTCCAAGCAATTCTCTTGCCTCAGCCTCCTGAGTAGCTGGGATCACAGGTGCACACCACCACACCCTGCTAATTTTGTATTTTTTTTAGTGGAGGCGGGGTTTCTCTATGTTGTTCAGGCTAGTCTCGAATTCCCAACCTCAGGTGATCTGCTCACCTCGGCCTCCCAAAGTGCTGGGATTACAGGCGTGAGCCACCACGTTAAAAAGGTAAACTTTCTATTTGCCCTCTAAAGGTTTGCAGAAAGTGAATGGACAAAACATAAATTAATAGAAGAAAGAGGCAAAAAAAAAATTCTGTATAATGTAGCGGAAAAATCACAGGGTCTCACTCAGTTACCCAGCATGAAGTGCAGTGGTGTGATCATGGCTCATTGCAACCTTGAATTCTCAGGCACAAGTGATTCTCCCCCCTAAGCCTGTGGAGTAGCTGGGATCACAGGGGCATGCCACCATGCCCACATACATGGGTGTTTGCTGGAGAGGAGATGGAGACTCTCTGTCCTGGATGTGAGACAGGTGGCTGGCATCTGGGTAAGGATGACATTCCCTCATTGCTAAAGACTAAAAGAGGAAAGTGTCATGGATAGTGCAAGCAGGGACATGCCCTGACCTAGTGAGGTCCAGAGGCTTATATTGGCCTTCATAGGGGAGTGGGAAGAAGCGAGAATAGGCAACCTAGGGGAAATAAATGACCTAAAATCAAAGAAATAGATCATCAGAAGTGTAGATGTATTAGTCAGGGTTCTCTAGAGTGACAGAATTAAAGGACTATATACATATATATATATATATATATGAAGGGGAGTGAGATGGTTAATAATGAGTGTCAACTTGATAGGATTGAGGGATATGAAGTTTTGATCCAGGGTGTGTCTGTGAGAGTGTTGCCGAAAGAGATTAACATTTGAGTCAGCGGGCTGAGCAAGGCAGACCCACCCTTAATCTGGTGGGCACAATCTAATCTGCTGCCAGCAAATATAAAGCAGGCAGAAAAATTTGAAAAGGAGAGACTGGCCTATCCTCCCAGCCTACATCTTTCTCCCATGCTGATTTCTTCCTGCCCTCAAACATTGGACTCAATGGCTCTCCTTTCTCATCAGTTTGCAGACAGTCCATTGTGTAACTTATGATCTTGTAAGTTAATAAACTCCCCTTTATAAATAAATACATATATGTGTGTTTGCATATATATATGTATGTGTGTGTGTATGTGTGTGTATATATATATATATATATATATGCATATATCCTGTTCTGTCCCTCTAGATGTAACTGGCTAATACAGGAAGTTTATTAAGTATTAACTCACACAATCACCAAGTCTCACAATAGGCCATCTGCTGGATGAGGAGTAAAAAGAGCCAGCCAGAGTTCCAAAACTGAAGAACTTGGAGTCCATGTTCGAGGGCAAGAAGCATCCAGCATAGGAGAAAGATGTAGGCTGGGAGGTGAGGCCCGTCTCTTTTCACGTTTTTCTGTCTGCTTATAGTATGGCTGGGTTGGCAGCTGATTGGATTGTGCCCACATAGATTAAGGGTGGGTCTGCCTTTCCCAGCCCACTGACTCACATATTAATCTTTTTTTGGCAACACCCTCACAGACACACCCAGGATGAATACTTTACATCCTTCAATCCAGTCAAGTTGACACTCATTATTAACCATCACAATCCCACCCCTTGTGAAATTCAACCCACACACATCTCCTGAGATCATACATAATCTTAAAATACAGACAATAGTAAGGTCATAATTACACCTAACATAATAAACTATCCTTCCTACAGTTGGAAATGCACCAATCCCCAACCTAAATACTATTACATAAAGCAAACAATACTTAAATGCTGATATGAGGTCAGTAAATCTATGTCACCTGATAAAGAAAAGGGAAATGAAATGAAGATATTTTCTTAGTACAAGGGCATACATGCACAAACATGTTTTTAACAAAAGAAGAAGGAAATACTCATGATAGTTCCAGTCCTCATTTCTGCAGCTGGTCAGGTGGTCGTAGCTGGTATTCATAACTACTTTCTTCCACTATCCATTCTGTATTCCCTTTGCCTTCAACAAGCACCTCAGCAGGTCGTGGCCCGGAGAGGATCTGGACCATTTGTATTCCTACCTGGATTGGGTATAATTTCCCATTTACCTTAATCAGAGTGCATGATAATACCAGGAGACGCCCTAATGGATCTCCTATATTCCATGCATACTCTTCCTCACTTCCATTGTGGAGTAGCGGACTGACTTCATCTTGATAGTCTGGGTCAATTACTGCTGCCAACATTGTAACTCCATTCTTAGCTTGTTGACTTAAAGGTAGGAGTACCCCAAAGCTTTTAAGTGGCCATGTTAACTTCCAGTTTAATACAATCCTTATTGTGTCTCCTGGTAGCAGCGTTCTTCCCTCTGGAGCTAAGAAGACTAATAAAGCAGAACCTAATGTTGTGGGAACAGAAAGCAAACATTTTGCTAGTGCATCATAGTGAGTGGTTCCACTTTCATATCCACCCCTTGAATCCTGGATCTGTGAATCCTGGTTATCAGAGAAACAATACCATACATTGGGCGCTGATTCAGAGCACACATGCTCTTCTGGAGTATGGTGCCCCAGCCCAGCAAAGTATTGTAACCTAGTTGACGTTGTAATCGCGACCTCAAAAGGCCGTCCCACCATTCTATAAATCCAGCTGCTTCAGGAAGATGGGGAATATGGTAAGACCAGTGAATTCCGTGAGCATGAGCCCACTGCCTCACTTCTTTACCTGTAAAGTGAGTGCTTGGTCAGAAGTAATGCTGTGTGGAATACCGTGATAGTGGATAAGGCATTCCTTGAGTCCATAAATTGTAGTCTTGGCAGAAGCATTGCATGCAGATAGGCAAACCCATATCCTGAGTAAGTTCCTGTTCCAATGAGGACAAACCTCTCTCCTTTCCATGGTGGAAGACGTCCAATATAATCAACCTGCCACCGGGTAGCTCGTCGATCACCCCAGGGAATGATGCCATACAAAGGGTTCACTGCTAGTCTCTGTTGTTGCTGGCAAATTGGGCACTCAGCAGTGGCCACAGATAGTTCGGCCTTGGTGAGTGGAAGTCCACATTGCTGAATCCATGCATAGCCTCCATCCCTGCCACCATGGCCACTATGTTCATGGGTTTATTGGACAATGACAGGGGTGTCTGAGGAAAGAGGCTGAGTGGTATCCACAGAACGGGTCATCTTATCCACTTGATTATCAAAATCCTCCTCTGCTGAAGTCACTTGTTGGTCAACACTCACACAGGGTACAAATATCTTCAGTTTTTGACCACTCAGAGATGTCCATCTACATACTCTTTTTCCAATTTTCTTTGTCACCAATTTTCCAATCATGCTTCTTCCAAGTCCCTGACCATCCAGCCAAACCATTGGCTACAGCCCATGAATCAGTATATAACCGCATATCTGGAAATTTCTCCTTCCATGCAAAGTGCACAATCAGGTGCACTGCTGAATGTTCTGCCCACTGGGAAGATTGTCCTTCACCACTGTCCTTCAGGGATGTCCTAGAAAGGGGCTGTAGTGCTTCAGCTGTCCACTTTTGGGCAGTACCTGCCTATTGTGGAGAACCATCTCTGAGCCAGGCCCTAGTCCTCCCTTCCTGTGTCAACTGCTCAAAGGCAAGTCCCCATGAGGTCATCAGTGCAGGCCGTGGGAGAGAAGGCAGGGTGGCAGGAGTAGAGACCATGGGCAATTGAGCCACTTCCTCATGTAACTTTCTTGTGCCCCCAGGACCTGCTTCAGCCCAACCACTTAAACATCATTTCCATTTGATGATTGAGTGCTGTTGTGCATGACCCACTTTATGGCTACATGAGTCAGAAAGCACCCAGTTCATGATAGGAAGTTCAGGTCGCATGGTGACTTGTTGACTCATAGTCAAATGTTCAGTTTCCCCAAAAGCCCAGTATAGGACAAGAGCTGTCTCTCAAAAGGAGAGTAGTTAACTGGAGAAGATGACAGGGCCTTGCTGCAAAATGAGGCCTCCACCATGATTCACCTATGGAGGCCTGCCAAAGCCTCAAAGCAGCATTCCTATCTGCCATGGACACCTCGGGGGGACCCAGCCTCCCCTTCATTCAAGGGGTTCTGGGTCTGTAAACTGTCTCAAGGCTGGAAATTGATTGAGGGGCCATGAATCTCTGTTTTTATAGTTCCAATTAGTCTTTTATGTGTTTGACCTTAAGTTTCCTCCTTACATAAATTAAGTGGGAATACATTAGTCTTCCTGTCAGTTTCACTTCTAGGAACACTGTGATTAGTTAGCCAATGCCAGAGCTCTACATGAGTCAGACTGTTCAGATTGCTGCTTTGTCTTTTCTGCCCATTACAGTAGCTACGCCCACCGTGCCTTTGAGGGTTGAGTGCTACCACTTGGCCCCTGCCACTTCAGGATCCAATTATTCCAAATTGTATTTAACTTCTGTAACTGAGTGACTGCAGTTCTCACCATTAGATCTGACATACAGAGAAGAGCCTTTACAGGGCTCTTCAAAGATGCAGGTGCTGTCCTCACAAATCTATTTTGCAAGGTGTTTGTCAAAGGTAATAGGTACAGAGTCACTAAACTCCTTGCCTCTCACGAGCGATGATTCATTAGGGTCAAATGAATTTGTTTTGCATAGCTCTTTAAACCTTTCATGCCAAGAACTGTCAATGTTCTCTACACTATTAAAAGTAGAGTCCTTAGCATTTTGGGATCTAGTCATATTTAGCAGCCAAATCCAGAAACCCCAAAACCAACAAAAGAACTCCAACCTTAATATTCTGTTCCTGCAGAACTATTCCTGGTACTAAAATCTGTATTAGTGAGGGTTCTCTAGAGGGACAGAACTAATAAGTTCTATATATATATATTATATACCATATATATAATATATAATATATGTATTATATATATTACATATTAACTTACAGTTCACAAGGTCCCACAGTAGACTGTCTGCAGGCATGAGGAGTGAGGAGTAAGGAGAGCCAGCTCGAGTCTCAAAACTAAAGAACTTGGAGTCCGATGTTCAAGGGTAGGAAGCATCCAGCACGGGAGAGAGATGTAGGCTGGGAGGCTGGGCCAGACTCACTTTTTCACTTTTTTCTGCCTGCTTTATATTCACTGGCAGCTGATTAAGTGGTGCCCATAGATTAAGTAGGGGGTCTGCCTTCCCCAGACTACGGACTCAAATATTAATCTCCTTTGGAAACACCCTCACAGACACACCCAGGAGCAATGCTTACATCCTTCAATGTAGTCAAGTTGACAGTCAGTATTAACTATCACAGGATTACAGACCTGAGCTGTCACACACAGTGTTATTGTATATTTCATACAATTTCCTGATTTTCCCATTTTATCTGTGACTTAATAAAGTTTTTCAGCTATGACCCCAAACTGGTAATACTTGAAAGCACATTCAAATGTATTTTGCAACAATTCATAACTGGTGAAACGTTAAGCCTTGTGGAAAGAGTCACCTTACTTCCCCATCAGCTGTCAATTCCCCATCATTACTATCACTTCTGGGAGCACATTTTCCAAAACTCCTTTTCTCTCTATGATTTCTTTAGAATAGCTCCATGAGGTTACAATAAATTACAACTAATTACTGTCATGAGATTGGGAAGTCAGAGTGGTGGATTCATGTACACTGACACCTGAAGTAAAACATATGCAGTTAGGTGTGGACTGGAGAATCACCTGGAGATGCGCTGCAGGCAGCTGAGAGCATCAGCACCCCCAGCCCTGGGATTCCCAGACAGGACTGAGGATCATCACACGGTGTTCAGCACATACCACCAGGGGCAGGTGCACGTTGGCTTCTGAAGTAGCACCTGAGAATCCCCTGTGTCTAGTACCTGCTTCATGAATAACACTTCATAGGCTTCGGAAGGACTGTGGTTTAGACTTTAATTTATTCAGCTTGAATAATTTCTCCTTGAAATACTGAGAATAGCTTCTCTTTTGCTGTACAAATTCCTATTATCCCATAACACAGACTCCTCAGCTGGACTTATCTCTCTTCTTTATTCAGTCAGGACAGGCATTGTCACGTCTTTTCTGCTGGGGATGAGGGCGAAAGAGGCTTAGGGTTCAGAGGAACCTCCCTGGCCTCCTCTAGGAAAATCTCCCAATGACTTTCCAAACCTGACTGAGTTTGAGAACTTCCCTCAGCAGATAGAGGCACCAGAAGGAGCATTGGGGCAGCTCAGCCTCACACATCTGCTTCCTTGGGGTTTATGTTATGACTTGTAACACTATGGGAGGGGTACTGTCACTCTGTTGACAGTAGTAAGTTGCAAAATCTTCAGGCTGCAGGCTGCTGATGGTGGGAGTGTAATCTGTCCCAGATCCACTGTCACTGAACCGAGTGGGAATCCCACTTTGCAGACTGGATGCAGCATAGATCAGGAGCTTAGGAGTTTTCCCTGGTTTCTTCTGATACCAATTTAAATTATTGATAATGCCCTGACTCGCCCGGCAAGTGATGGTGACTCTGTCTCCTACAGATGCAGACAGGGAGGATGGAGACTGGGTCATCTGGATGTCACATCTGACACCTGAAGTTGGAAACATAAAAACAAATATTCTTGCAATTAATCATGTTATCAGAGGACTTCCCTGAAGTTCCAGACAGTACTGAGCACACTGACCGAGTATAATCCTAGTGTTCTCCTTCCTTACCTGGCAGCCAGAACACCAGGAGCCCCAGGAGCTGAGTGGGGGCCCTCACATCCGTGCTGTGTCCTGACTGGGGCTGACTCCTGCACCGTGTGTGACCAGCCTATAAAAAGTCTTCAGGGCAGGAGGCTGTGCTCTAGGAACAGGCAAGTCAGCAGGGGATGGGGCAGGCTGAGCACAGCTGCAGGGCTGGCTCATCTCAGTAACTCAGCACAGGGGGGCAGTATCCCCAGAGTCCCAGGTCAGACCAGGGCAGCACAGATTTACCTTGAAAGATCACACTTCTCATTGGTGGCCATATGGTTACAGAACATATTTTTGTAGTGAATTTTCAAATTTTAAATCAACCTAAGACTAGATTAAATAATATATTTATACTTGTATTAGGAGTGTATAGGAAAGCATCATTTTTGGCAGAAAATTTACAATAATATTGTAGAATGTGGGGCTGTCAGAAATTTCAGTTAGTCTCAAAGGAATTTGATGAGTGTAAGAGTATTTAGTGCTATAATAAAAATGTCTCTGTCAGTGTGAAATTGCTTCTTTTATGAAATGAATATAAAAAGAATTTATCAGAAGCGTCTTTAATAAATTCAATAGAATTTACTAACAAACTTAAGACATTGTTCCTAGGAGTAAAAGGAAAAACAATTCTCTGAAGATGCACAAAGATGATAACTGTGTCACGCATAGATATGCCATTATCCAGAGCTATGGGTCTCTTTAAGACTCCGGGGCTAAATGGGCTGCACCTTATTCTTGGCGTGATGATCCCCATATTCTATCCCCTTTCCTGCCTTTGGTATAATTTCTTATGGTTCTCCAGCATGGAGTGTTGACTAGTAATACCAAGTCTCATTATTTCAACTAAAATCTCTGTTTCACTCGCTGACTATAGAAGCCTGGATTAAAATCAACTTGAAGCCCTCTATCAATCTAGGCTCAAATAGTCAATTGTTTCAAAGTAGGATGACAAAGGCCACATCCCCTGAGTAATGCTGTGAGCTGCACTCCCCACCAGCCTGTTCCTGGGGTCTCAGGTGAATCTGCCCTAGAGTCTGGCTTTCTGGAGAGCAGGTGAGTGGGGAAAAGCCAGGTCAGTGAACCTCTCTCCTTAGCGAGGGCAGCTGCTGCCCAATGCGTGTTCTTGCCATGCACCACGGCATCATCCTGACCCAGATGTCAGCCACCCTCTCTCACATCCATTTAGAGAGAATCTCCATCTTGTGCCAAGAGACTGCCCATGCAGACGAAAAAATATTTTGCATCCAAACATATCTTAAGCACTGATTTGAACCTCAATACTTCACACAGATGCCTTTGTCCAGGGCGTGTGGGCCTGGCTCAACAGCAGGGGAAGTGGAGCCAATTACATCAGTGTCAGTGGACTGAGAAATACTCCAGGGAGTAGTTCTCATGCACGACTACCAGTGGCCAGACCAAGGTAGTGCAGCCTGTGCACAAACCTCCTGCTGCTTTTCCAGAGGACTAGATTTCTGGGAAATGGCTACTGAACAGGCTGCCAGGATCCATATATCCAGATTCAGAAAGACACATGTCTGAATTCAAATGCGCTTTTTCTTTGTGCATAATTTTAGCAGTCATTGTTACTACGCCTTGGGGATTCTAGTCATTATACTTCAGCTGACTCTCTATGGCCCTTTCTCCCCTTCACTGCTCTATCTGAACCTGGGGAAGCAGCTCAGGCTGCAAATGAGGCAGACCTCATGGCCTGGAATTAGCATCCCCTAGGATGGCTGTCAATCAGTGATGACAAGGGAGGGGTACACATCCCCCAGCTCCCTCACCTCTCAGGTGGAATAACAGAGTCATTTTTCCTGTATTTCTATGTGGGCTTGAGCTCTCATCATCCTCATAGGTGGCTCCTTCTGAGGCACCTTTCATTTTCCCTTTCCCTCCTCCCCTCCCTTGCTCACTTGCTTGTTTCCCACGCTTTGTAAATATACTGCCTGCATGCGAATATTTGGCATCCTTCTCACTGAGGGGATCCAACCTAATGCATTGGAAAAATCCTCATTTTTGGAGGGCATCGTTTGTTTGAATTATTGCCACTTCTCAAGTTTTAATGCATAGGGAAATTCCAAAAATTTAGGAAATCTTTAAATTCCCTTTGCCAATCTTTCTTAGATTTGATTTTAGCAGAGATTCATTTTCTCTAGGTCACAAAATCACAGAAGCCTTCCACAAATGGCTACACAACATAGAGTCCACATAGAGCAGAGACTCAGAATCTCCCCAGGATTTGACATCCACACATCAGACAGTCCTAGAGTCTCAGGTTTTTTCTAGGTCAATTGCCTCATAAATCTGCCTTGTGATATTTTTATTCTGCCTTAGGGGAAGACCATTGTGTGAATGATGAGAGTTGTTTGTGCAATGAATAATACACCCACTAAAGACATCACTGTCCTAATATCTGAAATCTATCATCATTACTTATTAATATGTCAAAAATAACTTGGCAGACATGGTTGAGAATTTTGGGGTTAGGAGAGTAACCTGAATTATCTAGGTGAGACCATCATAATCACAAGTGTCCTTAAAATAGGGAGGGAGGAAGGTAACAGCCAAAAAGGACCTGGGACAATGGACATGGAAACTGGAGTGATGGAGGAAGGAGCCATGCTGCTAGGAATGTGGGAACATCAGAAGGGTGGAATGCTCGATATTAGATTCTCTCTCTTGAAGTCTACAATGAATAGAGCCCTATTACTCCTTGATTTTACTTCATTGAGACTTCTGACCTCCAGAAATGTAAGATAATGCACTTGTGTTATGTGGAGCAGTAAGGTTGTGGTAATTTGTTTCAGCAGCAACAGGAAACCAATGCAAGGGGAAGGGGTGTGTTTTACTTCCCTAGTGTATCACTGTCCTCTGTTCTCCCAAATAGTTCTGTGTTTTTGTGTTTGCTGTCAATTTCAACAAGAGACAGAAAACATTTTTCTATGAGGAGAGCTAGCACCACAATTCTTCTTATGTAGAAAGTGTCCTGAGTAATTCTCTGGGTTAGGTCTTGTACAATCTCGGTATCTGAGAGCCTGGAGGTCATCCCTCACAGCACATGAGAAGAGGAAGGAGATGCGGGTTTGCTGTTTTAACATTTGTGGGGCAAACTAGATGTACAAGACCCATTCTTCTTCCTCTTCTTCTTCTTCTTCTTCTTCTTCTTATTATTATTATTGTTGTTGTTCTTTAAGTTCTAGGGTACATGTGCACAACGTGCAGGTTTGTTACATATGTATACAGGTGCCATGTTGGTGTGCTGCACCCATTAACTCGTCATTTACATTAGGTATACCTCCTAATGCTATCCCTCCCCCCTCCACCCACCCCACAACAGGCCCTGGTGTGTGATGTTCCCCTTCCTGTGTCCATATGTTCTCATTGTTCATTTCCCACCTGTGAGTGAGAACATGCAGTGATTGTTTTTTTTTTTGTCTTTGCGATAGTTTACTGAGAATGATGGTTTCCAGCTTCATCCATGTCCCTACAAAGGACATGAACTCATCCTTTTTTATGGTTGCAAGCGAGAACTGAGTCAGAGAGATGGGGATGGCAGAGGAGATAAAATGTGGTCAGGGCCGTGTAAGATGTGACCCTGCTGCCATATCTGAAAGAAAGGCTGTTGGTGTTTGTAAAGGCTTTGGGCAAATTGTGCTTTGTAGACAAAACTGTAGAAGGGTCTGGGTTTAAGCTTAGTGTCAGCGTGATGAGGACTAGAGGTCGCAGTTAGCTTGTGTTAAGAAATCCACCCTGCACTTCTGGCTTTGTCTCTTTTCTGGTTTTATAGGTGATGGGTTCCTCTATGGAATGAACGTGGCTATGTGGAAGGAACATAGTTAAGGTCAGACAGACCTAGACTCCAAGTTCAGCTTCAACAACTGCTGACCAAGTGACTTTTATGCAAATCAGCCATGTGCTGTCATGAACAGTTTCCTCATGTGTGAAATGGGGCACTGAGGATGTGAAGGGGTGTCCTAAGGGTTCCTCCAGCTGATGCACCATGAAGTGTACATACATGTATAGACAGACACACATATATGAGAAGCGTATCTAGTGCCCCTTTTATGCATTCTTGAGTAACTCAGAATGTTATGTGAGATATTCACAGTCATATGTCATTTTCAACTAAAATTATCAATATTTATCTTATAACTAACAGATGCTTCTCTGTACACTGTAGGTTTCATGTACATTTCTTCAATCACAAAATTTTTCACCAATCTATTTATGTCTAATATCAGAAAGTTAAGCAAGGAGATTGTAAACCAACACAATACTTTTAGTCTGGATTTTCCCGGAGCCCCATTTGTGTTAGTGTCCTCGGGCTACTGTAGAAAGTTCTCAAAAACGTGGTAGCTTCAAACAACAGGAATAGAATCTCTCATAGTTCAGAAGTCCAGATCAGTTTCACTGGGCTAAGATCTTGGAGTCATCAGTTCTGGCTCCTTCTGAAGCTCTAGGGAGCAGTCTGATTTAGCTCTTCCAGCTTCTGGTGGCTTCTCCCTCCCAGGATGTGGACACATCACTGCAATCTCTGTCTCTGTGTTCACATTGCCTTCTCCACTTCAGTCTATGCTAAATGTCTCTCTACCTCTTGTTTTTTTTAGGACACGTGAGTTTCCATTTAAGTCCCAGTTGATTAATCTAAGACCATCTCCCTGTTTCAAGCTCCTTAATTTACACCTGCAAAAGCTGTTTTCCCAAATGAGATACATGCATAGTCTTCTTGGAATGAAACTTCACTATTTGGGGATGATACTCAGTACTACACCATTACATAACCAGGTCTCAGTGTTAGTCCTGTACATACATCATAATCTCTCTCTCTCTCTCTCTCTCTCTCCACACACCCTGGCTTCCTCCTTTTCTCAATGTCATAAATCTCTTCAATTCCTTAAGTGTATCCAGTGACACCTATAAACAAATAAGTATCTGAGAAAAGTCTCAATCAGTTTAGAAATTTATTTGGTCAAAGTTAAAGAAATATCAGTGAAACAGCCTCAGGAGGTCTTGAGAACGTGTCAAAGGTCGTCGGGCTACAGGTTGGTTTTACACGTTTTAGGGAGACATAAGATATCAATCAATACGTGTAAGCTGTACATTGCTTTGATATGGAAAGACAGGACAGCCCGAAGGAGGGGGGATGTTGGGGACTTCCAGGTCATAGGTGGATTCAAAGATTTCATAGGTGTTTGAAAGAGTTTATCTAATGACCTGTAATCAACACAAGGGAGTTTCTGGGTTTCGAAAAAGGGTTTTGGAGCCAAGGTTGCATCGTGCAGATGAAGCTTCCAGGTAGCAGGCTTCAGAGAGAATAGATTGTAATTGTTTCTTAGTAGACTTAAAAGGTGCCAAACTCTTAGTTAAATCTCTCTGGGTCAGGAAAGAGACTTAAAAAGTAATCTCTACAGAATGTAGATTTTTCCCACAAGAACCAGCTTTGCAGAGACATTTTAAAATACATTAAATAACAATATCTTGGGGAAAATACTTTTATTTCTCTTAGGACGTGGTATCTCTCACATTGGTATCTTATTGCTATAAAGAGTTTTCTTTGTCAGTCTCAAGGTCTCTGTCTTCTTATTAAAAGCTGGTCAGTTGTGCCTGAATTTTAAAGGGAAGAGGGCAAGTTAAGGCATATCCAATCATCCGTTCCGATCATGGACTGCATTGCATTTCAGGTTGATTTTGGTGTGTCCTTGGCTGAGAGGAGGAGCTCATTCAGTTGGTTAGGGAGCTTAGAGTTTCATTTTTGGTTTACACACCTGTGTCCAGGTAAGAGGGTCCCACACAGGAAGGCATGCTCAGAACCTGGCTTGCAGGGCTGCTTACAGACCTTCTATGTCTCCTGTTGTCATGCACAAGGAAGGACACAGCCAATGACAACCCTCAGCCATCCGGGGAGAAGCTGTGTCTGCAGAGAACGGTCATGAGCTCTGAATCTAGAGACCTGTGATTGTCTTCAGGGGCCTGTGGTCCTTAGCCTTCATAGGAGTTGTGAGGGCACTGGCTCAAATAGCATCCACCAGGATTCCAATCAGAATATCTCATTCACAGAAGGCAGTGGGTGATATGACAGCACAGAGGGACTCTGTGGGGCCAGCTGCATGGAGCACTCTGGGAGAGTCACTGGCACCCGTGCTAGACAGAGCTTCATTCAACTTCTGGAGCACACGGATTTAGATTTCTTTACATCATTTTGAAAGACCATTTATAATTCTGAAGGAAACCACTGTAATTAACTAAGGTAACATCTTTAATAGGCAGAAAGAAAAAAGTGATTATTTTATTGCCAAGATGATTACAAGAAAAGAAACAAACAAAAATAGCATGAAGAAAAGAGCAACACTAGACTGAGGGCTTTGGGTAAGAGGTTGAGACTTAGTAGTGAATGCCCTGGGCCATCTTCTGTCAAAAGGGAGGGACAATCAACAAAGGGAAATATGCAGTAGAGGCAAAATCTTGATTAGTAAGAGAATCCTAAGAGAAAACAAGAAGTCATCTTCCTGAGCATCATGTTGGTGTCGGGAAAATGCACATAATCCCCCCATTGCATGTCTTACATTTTTCAGCAATTAGGGCTCAGCATGAATTTAGAAGACACCATTCACTTCAGAGCAGATGGGGACACAGTCAAGGCAGCGGTGAGAGGCAAGGCTGGGCTTTCAGTCTCAGAGCACAGAGCAGGTTCCCCACTACTCCGCACCCTGGTGTCTCCTCCCAGATGTTCCAGATGTTCCACCTCATTCTTGCCTTAAGGGCTCCAAGTTGTTAATGGGACAGTAGTCCTCTTCCTTTCCCAGGGTTTCTAAGAATTTGGCTCTCTTTTGTGTATTGTGGGGTTTGTTTGCCATCTAGAGGCAGGTTTTTGGCATAGCAACTTACAGGCTTTTTCTACTTGTGATAGCGAAAATAAATACATAAATAAATTCATCATAAATAATAAATTGACTTAATGCATTGAATCTGTAAAAAAAAAATAAGGTCAGTTTGAGAGCTTAAAAGGAGCCTGATGAGGTTAAAAAGACAAATTACCTTTAGTAAAGAACAGATGGAGCAATAGATGATTCTTTCTTTAATCAATTACATTTTAGGAGTAATTATCAAATGGTAAATAAAACTTGAAATAAGCTGATGAAATATAATTTTATATGCAAAAAATATTTCCATAAACCATACAAATACATTTTCAGATTAAAACAAACAAAAAATGTGGGTTTATCATCAGATCCGCTAAATGGAAGATTTCTCAAATGTGTGCTTGGAGCAAAAATAACACTTATCCCTATTTGAAAGTTCAAGATTTTTGAGCTTTAGAAGAAAACAGCTTTCCCTTCACTCTGTTCCACTCACGCTTCTGAGGATGACCATGGGGCAAAAAGCCACGGCGGCGGGGTGCAAAAAGCCGTGGAGATGGGGGGCAAAAAGCCGCGACTTCAGGGGGCAAAAAGCCGTGGCGGCGTGGGGGCAAAAAGCCGCGGAGGCGGAGGGCAAAATAGTGGAGATGGGGTAGAAGGCCGGCACAGCTTGGCATTGCTGGAGTCTGATGTGATAGGAAATGTGCAGCCAAAGACAAAAAAAGATGTAAGTAGGCTTGACTCATTGCAGCTAAGAACCCAGATGTTACCTTGAGGGTATTAACTTATAAGCAGTTTAAATCAGAATTGCACATTCTGATTTGTTTTTTGTATGTTCACATTTGGCAGGCATAGATACGTTTGAAGAGAGAAAAGTCAGAAGATAGAGGTAACAAACTTAATTATGTGCCAAGTCTAGAAACAAGAGACCAGGGGGATAAGGACCTTTCAAAATAAAATGCAAGATTTGAAAACTGATTGTCTGGGGGATGAGGAAAAGTCAGCTCTTTAAGGTCAATCCCTGTTTTGCTTTAAGTTGTTAGGGGGTGGTTTTATCACATATTGTAGAATATGTCATTTCAGTTTTGAACATCTTGAGTTAAATTGTCCTAACATATCTTATGAATTTGATTTTCTTCCCTGGGAAGCTAATATTTCAAAATCTTAAGGAGGATAGATTTCCAACTGATATCCAATTTATAAAACTATCTCTAGGCTGCTGATTTTAGGAGGAAGCTCATGAATATTCTCTTTGCAGAGAATATATCAGGAGTTAACAACAGCTTCAATATTTGTGGACGACCAGTTAACTAAGCCACCTCTTAGTGTATTTAGATGGGAAATCTTAGCCGAAGATATTCAATAATGAACCAACAGTGACTAAAATTTCAATATTGAAGTATATTTCATTGTAATTAATTTGAATTGAAGAAGCCTATACAGCTAGTATTTACTACATTGAAGAATGCAAATAAGAGGAAAAAATTAATAACCATCTCTAATACCACATGCCAAAATCCTCATCAATTTATTCTAGCTAAAGGAGTTGATCAGAAGCAGCAGTTGAAAGCACCAACTAAACCAGCTGGGGTTAGTTCACTGTCATTCTCTCAGAACCATCTCTTCTCTGAACAAAACAAGTACAAAATTTCATTGTGAATCTGCATTCTCCTTGCCTATTTTAAGGTTTTGATGTTGACACTAATTTGTGAAATCCCTCCTGTGGTGTGATATTTCGTTTTCCTTGCTTTCTGTTAGGACAAGAATGCTTCAGCTCTTAATTTAAAATTATGTTTCTCCCTCCTAGGTTGAGTGAACTTAGAATGCATTCTCTGACATATCCAAGTTTTTGTTAATATGAATTTGGGGAAAAAAGCATACTTAAGTAGCTAAGAGTTCTTATTCTAGGCTTGACCCTATGATTGACATCTTTTGAATTTCTAGTTGCATGGGCTGCTCTCTGACACTGGTTAGTGACCTGGAAGCTATATTAATGTTAGGGGAGGTGGTGTATGAGCATTAGAGGTATCCTTGCAAGGAAAGACTTGTCTTATCTCAATACGTCTTTTTTTGCACACAAGAAAGTCAGTCTGAGTCATCTAAAATCTTCCTATTTCCAAGTTGCAGAGTACCATTGATTCCTAAACAAAGATCTAATTTTTGACTCAGAGACGTGACAAGGTAGTGAATCACCATTATAATTTAACAATCTTCAAGATAAAATTATCTCTCTGATATTTAGATTTTGCCCAATTATTAAGATATTTCGGTGTTTCGCTAAGAATAGAAGATTCTAGTCTCTTGAGCAGAGACTATAAAGGCCTCAGATGATCATTTTTAATTTTATGCTCTTTTCTTTAACACCTTCAACACAGTTGGAAGCAGCTAATATTCCCCAGAGTTGTTGTGTTTTTTAATGCAAATGCATGGTTCAGTGGTAGAAAACTGGGCTGATCCAAGCTGTTTTCAGTAAACACTTCATTTCAGGTGACCTATTTCATATTAAATAATCTCTAGATCCTGTCTTCCAAACTAACTAGATCAGATAACCTGCCCTGGATTTTCTCCTTTTAGGGTCTGTGAGCTGCAGTCACTTTTGTGAAAATGATTGCAATGACAAGATAAAGTTGCAGATGGGGAAAATGTTTTGACTAATTTAAGCATAGTGGTATTTCATATGAGAATTTAAGTTACACACATGTGAAAATTATAATGGAGTCTATTGGCTGAACTTTAAAAAAATAGCGTTTATGCTAAAAAGGGAACTGCTGCCTCTCCTAAAATCAGAAAGTTGTTAACAGTAATTCTCCATTCTCTAGAATTATCAAGAAGCACCTTTGTGATGATTTACTTTTGCTCTTGGGAGTGTGAGCCCGTGTAGCCGTGGAACCATCAATTAGAACGGTGGCTTTCTGATCCCAAAGTCATTCGTCCTGAAAACAATATTTTTCATAATTTTGAAAGTGAGAAGTTTTGAGCTTACCATTCCCAAGTAACTCTCTTAATAAGAGGTTTCAGCATGCTTCAGTGACAGCTGTCACCTTCCAGTGCTGAGAGTCATCTTTGAGTTCTCCATTTCACTCCCTACACTCCAATTTAGCTGCAGTTCTCTTGGCCAGTCCTATGAAATACATCCATGGCCTAACGACTTCTCACCACTACTACCACTCATCCTGACAGCATTCTCACCTAAGTCATTACCTTTTTTCTCTGGATTAGAGTAACCTCCCAATTTATTTGCTCACATAACCTGTTTATTCTACACAGTGCACGAGATACACCCCTTTGAAATGCAAACCCAATCATGTTATTCTCTGGTGAAATTATCTCATATATTCCTATCACATTTAAAATTAATTCAGAATAATCCCATGATTATCAAAACCGTACATGCTCTTCCACAACATGGTTTACTTCCAAGATGTCTCTTCAACTTTTTTTTCACTGTACTGAATAGGTGACTAATAGTCATATTTTTGTTTTTGCTCAAAAAGTCTTGACTTGTAAATTTTTCAGTTTCTCCTTTATCCACAGGTAACTCCTTCCTCATCAGGCGAATTGCTTGCTTACTTGAGTTCTGCTCTCAAAGATACCCTTCATTTTCTACCTAATATTAATAACTTTAATCATTCATTATTCCATTACTATGCTCTATAGTGTATACAATTTCTGTTCTTTGTCATGTTATTAACTAAATTATTTATTTGGTCCAGTAACGTATTCCATAAATACTGTACACATAAAAATTATGTTATTTTTATTGCTGTATGTTCAGCTGCCCAATAACAGTCTGAAGATTAACATATTTGTTAAATGCACAAATACATTCATTCACAAATATCAGTTTAATAATTTTATATTAAACTCCCTCTATAATTACAATATGAATTAGATAATTCAGAATAAATATTCCATTGGAAAAAACTAAACAATTTGTTATAAAACATCCTTAAAAGCATCAGAAATTTAATACAGCAATGAAGAATTACAGGACCAAATTTAGAATGGTATGGAAGCCTGTTTGTGAGGCTTATGTTTGGGTTATCTCTTTACTTAGAGTGACTATAAATCTCAAAAGAGAACTAAAGGGAGAAATAACCATATCAACTCACATGGTAAGGGTATTTAAACATCTCTTAGTAATTGAGATAATTGAAAGAAAAGAGAAAGCGAGAAGGAGAAACAGAGCAAAAGGGATAATGAAGGAGAGAGAAGAAGAGAAAGGAAGAGAAAGAAAAGTAAAAAGGAGGAGGAGGGGGAGGGAGGAAGAAAGAAAGGTGAAAAGAAAGAATGCTAAAGTTTTCAACAACATAATTTATCCTTTTAGAATATGAATGTTGGTCTATTTGATAATGTCCCACAGATTCATTAGTCTCTGCTCATTTTTTATCTGTTTCTCAGAGTCAATGTTTTCCATTTTCTTATCTTCAAGCTCACGTTTTCTTCTGTGTGTGCAAATATACTCTTAAATCCCTCTGGTGATTTTAAAATTTTTATCGTTGTAGTTTTCCGCTCCAGAATTTCCGTTATTTCTGTTGATATTCCTACTTTTTAATATTTTTTTCTGATTGCTTGATTTCTTTGTTTATGTTTTCCTTTTTACATTTGAGTATAATTAAGAGAGTTGTTTTAAAGTATTTGTCTAGTAAGTTTAATGTCTGGGTTTCCTTATATATATTCTCTGTCAATTTGTTTTGTTCCTTTGAATGAGCCATACTTTCCCGTTCTTTGTATGCCTTGTACCTTTTTTTTGAAAACTGGACATTATAATAATTATAATTACTATGTGGTTACTCTGTAAATCAGAACCCCCCCCTACAAACACAGTAATGTTTTGTGGTTTTAAATTTTCTTTACTTATTATATGGTTAAGGATTTTTTTTTAGTGAAATTTTCCAAAGTGATTTACAAAACAGTTTGCTTTATAAGGTGTGGTCACCAAAGTTTTTTTGCTTCCTTAACAAATGTTAAGCTAATGTTTTGGCAGTGACTTTCTTGTATGTCAGGAACTAAGCAAACAGGGAAATACAACAAAAACAAAGAAAAACAAGTAGTCATTACCCAGCAAAATATATCTCTAGGCCATGCAGACTGGCTTTGTCCTGGGTTCTTTAAAGCCGCCACAAAGTGTGTGTTCACTCTTGCACTGAGTGAAGTTCAAGTTGACTCTTGCACAGAGCTTGCACTGAGGGGAGGTATCAACCAAGGTAAAAGTGTAGGGTCTTCTTATGACATTTGTCAGCATGTGGCTTAACCTATGCATACATGTGACTTTCTAGACTCTCCCATGTACGTGAATGATTTTTAATGTCTTAATTTTCCAAATACTCTTCTCCAACTTTTCTTCCTGTGCTGAAGGTGATCTACTATATGTGTAAACTCTAATTTATACCCTAAGCATCCATGGTTTGTTAGGTCTCCTTTCAGAGTTTCTTAAAAATGTCCATTCCTTATGTGTTCCTTATTCTAGCAACACAGAAAAAAACAGCCTTTCATGAGTCCTTTAGATATCCCCCAGACCTGTCTGAACAGACACTTGAGTCCATTCGATGATTCCACTCGATTCTATTTGATGATGATTGGATTCGATTTCATTATATGATTGCATTCAATTCCATTGGATGATTCCATTCGATTAAATTAGATGATGATTCCATTTGATTCCATTCAATGATTCCATTCGATGATTCATTTCGATTCCATTCGATGATTGAATTCGATTCCATTCGATGATTATTCCGTTCGATTCCATTCGATGATTCCATTTGATGCCATGCAATGTTTCCATTTGATTCCATTACATGATTCCATTCAATCATGATTCCATATGATTCCATTCGATGATTCCATTCGATTCCATTCTAAGATTTCATTCAATTCCATTCAATGATTGTTCCATTCAATTATTTTCGATGATTCCGTTCGATTCTATTCAATGATGACTCCATTCGATTCTGTGCGATGATGATTGCGTTTGATTCCATTCGATGATTCTTTTCGATTTCATTGGATGATGATTCCATTTGATGATTCCATTTGATTCCATTCGATGACGGTTCCATTTGATTCAATTTGATTTGTTCCATTAGATTCCATTCGATGTTTCCTTTTGATACCATTTGATGATGATTCCATTTGATTCCATGTGATGATGATTCCATTCGATGCCATGCAATGATGATTCCATTCGATTTAATTCCATGATTCCATTTGATGGTGATTCCATTCGATTCCATTGGATGACTCCATTTGATTCCATTGGATGATGATTCCATTCGATTCCATTCGATGATTCCATTCGATTACATTGGATTATTCTGTTCAATGATGACGCCATTCGATTCCATTCGATGATTCCATTTGATTCCATTCGATGATTCCATTTGATTATTATTCCATTCAATTCCATTGGATGATTCCATTCGATTCCAGTCAATGATTCCATTCAATTCCATTCGATGATGATTCCAGTAGAGTTCATTCGATGATTACATTCGATTCCATTTGATGATTCCATTTGATTCCATTCAATGATGATTCCATTCGATTCCATTGGATGATAATTCCATTCTATGATGATTCCATTTGATTCAATTCGATGATGATTCCATTCGATTCCATTCGATGATTCCATTCAATTCCATTCGATGATGATTCCATTTGATTCAAATCGATGATGATTCCATTCGTTTCCTTTCGAAGGTTCCATTCAATTCCATTCGATGATGATTCCACTTGATTCCATTCAATGATGATTCCATTTGACACCATTGGATGTCTCCATTCGATTCTATTTGATGATGATTCCATTCGATTCCATTCATTTATTCCATTTGATTCCATTTTATGATTCCATTTGATTCCATTCAATGATTCCATTCAATTACATGGGATGATACCATCCGATGATTCCATTCTATTCCATTCGATGATTCCATTTGATGATTATTCCATTCAATTCCATTTGATGATTCCATTTCCTTCCATGTGATGATGTTTCCATTCGATTCTATTCCATGATTCCTTTCGATTCCATTCGAAGATGATTCCATTCAATTCAATTCGAAGATTCCATTCAATTCCAATATATGTTTATTCCATTAGATTCATTTTGATGATTCCATTCGATTCCATTCGTTGATGCTTCCTTTTGATTCCATTCAATGATGATTGCATTTGATTCCATTCAATGATTCCGTTCGATTCCATTCTATTATGATTCCATTTGATTCCATTCGATTATTGTATTCGATTATGTTCTATGATTCCATTCGCTTCCATTCAATGATGATTCCATTTGATTCCATTCAATGATTCCATTTGATTCCATTCAGTGATGATTCCACTCGATTCCATTCGATGACTCCATTCGATTCCATTCGATGTTTATTCCATTCGATTCCTTTTGATGATTCCATTCAATTCCATTCAATGATGATTCCATTTGATTCCATTCGATGATGATTCCATTCCATTCCTTTTGATGATTTTTATCAATTTCATTCAATCATGATTCCATTCAATGATTCAATTCAATTCCATTTGATGATGATTCCGTTAGGTTCCATTTGATTTATTCCATTAGATTCCATTTGATGATTTGTTTCAATACCATTCAATGATGATTCCATTAGATTATTCCATTCAATTCCATGCGATAATGATTCTACTCAATTCCATTCAATGACTCCATTAGATTGCATTAGATGATGATTGCATTAATTCCATTTGATGATTCCATTAGATTCCATTCAATGATGATTCTATTTGATTCCATTTGATAATTCATTTCGATTCCCTTCGATGATGATTCCATTTGATTTCATTTGATGAATTCATTCGATTAAATTCGAGGATTCCATTCGATTCCATTCGATGATTATTCCATTCAATTCCATACTATTATGATTCCATTCAATGATGATTCCATTTGATTACATTCAATGATTCCATTTTATTCCATACGATGATGATTCCATTCGATTCCATTTCATGATTCTATTCGATTCCATTTGATAATAATTCCATTCAATTCCATTTGATGATACCTTTCAATTCCATTCTAGGATTTCATTTGATTCCATTTGATGATTATTCCATTTGATTCCTTTCGAAGTTTCTATTCGATTCCACTCAATGATGATTCCATTTGATTCCATTCAATGATGATTGCATTCAATTCCATTCGATGATTCTTTTCGATTTCATTCAATGATGATTCCATTCAATGATTCTATTTGATTCCATTCGAATATGATTCCATTCGATTCCATTCAATTTATTCCATTCGATTCCATTTGATGGTTCCTTTTGATACCATTCAATGATGATTCCTTTCGATTCCATGTGATGATGATTCCTTTCGATTCTATGTGATGATGATTCCATTCGATTCCATTTGATGATTCCATTTGATTCCATGTGATGATGACTCAATTCGGTTCCATTGGACAATTCCATTTGATTCCATTCGATGATGATTCCATTCGATGATTCCATTCAATTTCATTCAATGATTCCATTGGATGATTCCATTCCATTCCATTGGATGATTCCATTTGATGATGACACCATTCAATTCTGTTTGATGATTCCATTCGATGATTTTAAATTTGATTCCATTGGATGATACCATTTGTAAACATTCGATGATGATTCCATTCAATTCCATTCGTTGATTCCATTTGATTACATTCGATTATGATTCCATTCGATTCCTTTTGATGATTCCATTTGATTCTATTCAATGATTCCATTCGATTCCATTCGATGATGATTCCATTCGATTCCATTCGATTTATTCCATTTGATTCCATTCGATGATTCCTTTTGATACCATTCAATGATGATTCCATTCGATTCCATGTGATGATGATTCCTTTCGATTCTATGTGATGATGATTCCATTCGATTTCATTTGATGATTCCATTTGATTCCATGTGATGATGACTCAATTCGGTTCTATTGGACGACTCCATTTGATGATGATTCCATTCGATGATTCCATTCAATTTCATTCAATGATTCCATTTGATGATTCCATTCCATTCCATTGGATGATTCCATTCGATGATGATACCATTCAATTCTGTTTGATGATTCCATATGATTCCATTTGATGATTCCATTCGATGATTTTAAATTCGATTCCATTGGATGATACCATTTGTATCCATTCGATGATGATTCCATTCAATTCCATTCGTTGATTCCATTTGATTACATTCGATTATGATTCCATTCGATTCCTTTTGATGATTGATGGAATGGCGACGAATGGAATATAACCGAATGGAATGGCATCGAATGAAATGGAATGGAACGAAATTTAATGGACTCGAATGGAATGGACTGGAATAAAAGGGAATCGAACGGACTGGAATGGAACGGAACAGAATAGAATGGAACCGAATTGAATGGAATGGAGCCGAATGGAATGGAACCGAATGGAATGGAATTGAATGGTTTGAAAAAGAATAGAATGGAATGGAGTGTAATGGAAAGATATTGAATTCTATGGGATGGAGTGGAATGGACTCGAATGGAAAGGAGTGTAATGGAATGGAATCAAATGTAATGGACTGGAGTGGATTGGACACGAGAGGAATGGAAACGAATGGAAAGGAAGAGCATGGAATTGAAAGAAATAGAGTGGAATGGAATCAGATGGTATGGAATGGAATGGAATGGTGATGAATGGAAATGAATCAAAAGCAATTGAATCGAATGGCATGGAAAGGAAAAGAATGGAATGGAATGGAATGAAATGGAATGGAATATACTTGAATGGAATAGAACAGAATGTAATGGCAAAGAATGGAATGGAATGGAATAGAATGAAATGGAATGCATTGGACCCAAATGTAATGGACTCGAGTGGAATGGAATGAAATTGAATGGACCCGAAAGGAATGGTCTCTAATGGAATTTATTCAAATAGAATTGAATCGAATGGAATGCATTATTAGGGAATGGAATCGAATGGAATGGAATCAAATGGAATTGACTGAAACCAAATGTACGTAAATAGAATGGACTCGAATGTATTGGATTGAAAAGTAATTGATTTGAATGGAAGGGAATCAAAAGTAATGTAATCAAAAGGAATGGAATGTCATGAAAAAGAATGGAATAGATTGGTATGCAATACAGTGGAACGGAGTGGAATCGACTGGAATGGAATTCCATGGAATGTAATCGAATGGAACGGAATCAAATGAAATGGACTGGAAAGGAATGGACTCGAATAGAATGAACTGGAACACAATGGAATCGACCAGATTGGAATGGAATGGAATAGAATGTACTCAAATGGCATTGAGTCGAATGAAATGGAACCAAATGGAATGGAAACGAATGTAACAGAATTGAATGGAATTGTAAAGAATACAATGGAATGGAGTGTAATTCAAAGATATTGAATGTAATGGAATGGAATGAAACGTACTTGAATGAAATACATTCGAATGGAATGAATTGGAATTCAATGGACTCTAGTGGAATGGACTGGAATGGAATGGACTTGAATGGAAGGGACCACAGTGGAGTGGATCGAAAGGAAGGGAAACGAATGGAATGGAATGGAATAGAATGGAATGGCATCGGATTTAATGGTATCGAATGGAATGCAATTGAACAGAATCGAATCGAATGGAATGACATCAAATGGAATGGAATGGAATGGGATGGAATGGGATCGAATGGAATGGACTCGAATGGAATAGAATCAAAAGGATTGGCATGGAATGGAATGGAACTGAATGGAAAGGAATGGACCCAAATGGAATGGACTCGAATGGAATGGACTCAAATAGAAAGGAATCGAAAAGAATGGTCTCTAACGGAATTTATTCAATAGAATGGAATCGAATGGAATGCAATAGCATGGAATGGAATTGAAAGATATGGAAGAAAATGGATAGGAATGGAATGGACTGGACTGGACTAGAAGGGAATCGAATGTAATGGATTGCAAAGTAATTGATTCGAATGGATTAGAATAAAATGGAATGTAATAAAACGGGAGGGAATGGAATGCAACGGATTGGAAAAGAATGGAATGCAATAAAATGGAAATGTGTGAAATCGAGTGGAATAGATTTGAATGGAATGGAGTCAAATGGAATGGAATCAAATGGAATGGACTGGAATGGAATGGACTACAATGGAATGAACTGGAACAAAATGGAATGGAATGGATTGGAATCGAAAGGAAAGATAAGGAACGGAATGGAATGGACTCAAATGGAATTGACTCGAATGGAATGGAACCAAATGGAATGAAATTGAATGGAATGGAAATGAATGGATTCGAAAGGAATAGAATGAAATGGAGTCTAAAGGAAAGATGCCAAATGGAAAGGAATGGAATGGAATGTAGTTGAATGGAATGGAGTGGAATGGAATGGACTCGAATGGAATGGACTGGAGTGGAATGGACTCGAATGGAATGGAAAAGAACTGAATGGCATGGAATGGTAAGGAAAGTAATGGAATGTTAAGTAAGAGTATGGAATGGAATCATATGGAATGGAATGAAATGGAAAGGAATGGAATGGAGTCGAATGGAATAGAATCCACAGGAATGTCTCCAAATGCAATGGAATGGAATGGAATGGAAAGAAGTCGAATGGAATGGAGTATAATGGAATGGAATGGAATGGACCCAAATGTAATGTACTCACATAGAATGGACACACATGGAGTAAACTTGAAAGGAATTACCTTGAATGGAATTTATTCGAATAGAATGGAATCGAAAATAAAGCAATAATATGGAAGGGAATCGAATGGAATGTAGTCGAATGGAATGGACCAGAATGGAATGGATTGGAATAGAATGGCTCGAATGTAATGGACAGCAATGTATTAGATTCGAATGGAATGGATTCAAATGGCATCGAATAGAATGGAATATAATTAAACGGAATGGAATGGAATACATTGGAATGGAATAGAATGGAATGGAATCTAGTGGAATGGAATCAAATGGAATGGAATTGACTGGAATGGAGTGGAATGAAATGGGCTCGAATGGATTGGACGGAAACAAAATGAAATAGAACAGATTGGAATTGAATGGAAACGAATGGAATTGAATGGAATGGACTCGAATGGAATGGTGTCGAATGGATGGAATCAAATGGAATGGACTGGAAAGGAATGGACTCCAATGGAATGGACTGGAGTGGAATGGACTGAAATGGAATGGAATGGAATGTAAAGGAATGGAATGGAATGGAATGGAATGGAATGGAATGGAATGGAATTGATTAGAATGGAATGGAATCAGATGGAACGGAATGGAATGAAAAGGAGTTGAATGGAATGGCATCAAATTCAATGGAATGGAAGGGAATCAAATTGAATGGAAATGAATGGAATGCAAGGGTATGGAATGGAAAGGAATACAATGGAATTGAAATGGATGGAACGCATTTGAAAGGAATTGAGTCGAATGCAATATAATCGAATGGAATGGCATCGAATGGAATTTAATGGAATGCAATGGAATGGACTCGAAAGGAAAGGATTTGAATGGAGTGGAATCGAATGTAATGGACTGGAGTGGAATGGACTCGAATGAAATGGAAACGAATCGAATCGAAGGGAATGGAAAAAAAAAGGAATAGAATGGAATGGAATTGTATGTAGCAGAATGGAATGGAATGGAGTTGAAGAGAATAAATTGGAATGGAATGGCACTTCGAATGGAATGGAATGAACTCTGATGGAATTGACTCGAATGGATTAAAAAGAATGGAATGCCATCGAATGAAATGGAATGGAATTGAATGAAATGGACAGAAATATAATGGACCCAAATGTGATGGACTCGAATGGAATGGACTCAAATAGATTGGGATCGAAAAGAATGGCCTCGAATGGAAATTATTCGAATAGAATGGAATTGAAAGGAATGGAATAGTATGGAATGGAATAGAATGGAATGGAATCAAACGGAATGGAACGTAATGGAACAGATTGTAATAGAAAGTGCTCGAATGTAATGGATTTCAAAGCAATTGATTGGAATTGAGTGGAATAGAATGGAATGTAATCAAATGAAATGGAATGGAATGCCATGGAATGAAATAGAATGGAATGCAATGGATTTAAATAGAAAGAAATGCAATGGAATGGAAAGGAGTGCAATCGAGTAGAATGGAATCAAATGGAATGGAATCGAATGTAATGGACTGGAACGGAAAGGACTCCAATTGAATGCACTGCAAAAAATGCAAACGAATGGATAGGTATTGAACGGACAAGAATGGAATGGAACTGAAAGGAATGGACTCGACTGGAATGGAGTGGAATGGAATGGAATCGAATAGAAAGGACTGGAATTGAATGGAAACTAATTGAAAGGAAATCAATGGAATGGAAAGAATGAAATACAATGGAAAGGAATGCAATACAATGGAACAGAATGGAATGAAAAGGTATAGAATGGAATGCAATCATGTGGAATGGAATAGAATGGAATGGAATGGACTCCAAGGGAATGGACTCAAATGGAATAGAATGGAAAGGAAGGGCATGGAATGGAATTTAAAGGAATGGAATAGAATGCAGTGCACCGAAATGTAAGGGAATCAAAAGGAAGTTACTCAAATGGAATTTATTCGAACAGAATGGAATCAAATGGAATGCAACAGTATGGAATGGCATCAAATAGATTGGAATCGAACACAGAGGACTGGAGTGGAATGGACTGGAATAGAACGGACCAGAATGCAATGAATTGCAATGTAATCGATTTGAATGGAAAGGAATCGAATGGAATGTATTCAAATGGAATGGAATGGAATGCAATGGAATGGAATAGAATGGAATACAATGGAATGGAATGGAGAGGAAACGAGTGGAATGGAATGGAATGGAATGGAATGGAACGGAATGGAATCTATTGGAATTGATTGAATTGGAATGGACTGGAAAAAAATGGAATTGAAATGATTGGAATCAAGCGGAATGGAATGGAATGGAATGGAATGCAATGGAATGGAAAGGAATGGAATGGAATGGAACAGAATGGAACGGCCTAGAATGGATTGCACTGAAATGGAATGGACTGGAACAAAATGAAATCGAACGGATTGGAATCGGGCAGAATTATATGGAATGGAAGGGAAGGGAATTGACTCGAACAGAATGTAGTCGAATGGAATGGAATCGAATAGAATGGAATTGAATGGAATCGAAATGAATAGAATTAAATTGACTGTAATGGAAAGATATCGAATGGAAGGGAATGGAAAGGACTCGAATGGAATGGACTGGAATGGAATGGATTCAAAGGGAATGTAGTGGAATGGAATGCAGTAGAATGTAATGGAAAGGAATGGAATGGAATGGAAAGGAACGGAAAGGAATAGAATGGAATGGAATCAGATGCAACAGAATGAGATGGAATAGATTCAAATGAAATGGACTCCAATGGAATAGAATAGAATGGAATGGCATCGAATAGTATGGCATGAAAGGGAGTGTAGTGGAAAGATATCAAATAGAATGGAATGGACTCGAATAGAATCGACTGGATTGGAATTTACTCGAATGGAATGGAATAGATTGCAAGGGACTCGAATGGAATGGAAACGAATGGAATGGAATGGAATGGAATGGAAAGGAATAGAATGGAATGGAATCAGATGGAACGGAACAGAATTTAATGGAGTCAAATCGAATAGAATCGAATGGAATGAAACGGAATGGACTCGAATGAAATGGACTAGAATGGAAAGGAATCTAATGGAATGGCATGGAATGGAATAGAATTTAAAGGAATAGACTGGAATGGAATCGGATGGAATGGAACGAAATTTAATGGAGCCAAATGTAATAGAATCCAACAGAATGGCAATGAATGAATGAAATGGAATGGACTCGAATGAAACGGACTAGAATGGAATATAATCGAATGGAATTCCATGGAATGGAATGGAATGGACCAAAATATAATACACTCGAATGGAATCAACTCAAATATAATGGAAACGAAAGGAATGGTCTCGAATGGAATTTATTTGAATTTAATGAAATCTAATGGAATGCAACAGTATGGAATGGTATTCAATGGAAAGGAATCGAATGGAATGTACTGGTATGGAATGGAGTGAAATGGAATGGACTCGAATGTAATGCATTGCAAAGTAATTGATTTGAATGGAATGGAATCGAATGGAAAGTAATCAAATGGAATGGAATGGAATGGAATAGAATGCAATTCAATGGACTGGAATCGCATGGAAAGAAGTGGAATAGATTCGAATGCAATGGAAAAGAAAGGATTGGAATCGAATGGAATGGACTCGAAAGGAATGGAGTGGAATAAAATGGAATTGAATGGATTGGAATCGAACAGAACGGAATGGAGTGGAATGGAGTGGAATGGAATGGAATGGAATGGAATGGAATGGAATGGAATGGAATGGAATGGAACCGAATGGAATGGAGTCAAATGGAATGGAAATGAATGGAATGGAAAGGAACAGAATGGAATAGTGTGGAATGGATAAATATGGAGTGGAATGGAATGGAATGGAATGGAATCAAAAAGAATGGGCGGGGTAGTTATGGAATCCAATGGAATGGACTACAACGGAATGGACTCGAATGGAATGGAAACGAAGGGAATGGAAAGGAATAGAATGGGTACGAATAGAATAGAATGAAATAGGATTGAACAGAATGGAATGCAATGGAGTGGAATGGAATAGAATCCAATGGAATGGCATTTAATGGAATGGAATGGAAAGGAATGGACTCGAATGAAATACAACAGAATGGAATGACATAAAATTAATTGGAAAGGAATGGAAAGGACCCAAATGTAATGGACTAGATTGGAATTTACTCAAATACAGTGGACTTGAAAGGAATGGTGTCAAATGGAACTTATTCTAATAGAATGGATTCAAATGGAATGCAGTAGAATGGAATGAAATCGAATGGAATGGATTTGAATGGAATGCAGTAGTATGGAATGAAATCGAATGGAATGGAATAAAATGGAAATGAATTTAAGTGAATGGACTGGAATAGAACGCATAACAATGTAATAGATTGCAATGTAATTGGTTTGAAAGGAAAGGATTCCATTGGAATATAATCAAATGGAATGCAATGGTATGCAATGGAATGTAATAGAATGGAATGCAATAAAATGGAATGGAGTGAAATCAAATGGAATGGAATCGAATGGAATGGAATTGAATGGAATGGATTCGAATGGAATGCACTGGAATGGAATGGATTTGAATGGAAAGGAATGGAACGAAATCGAATTGAACAGTTTGGAATCGAATGCAATGTAATGGAATGGAATGGAATGGAATGAAATGGAATGGAATGGAATGGATTCGAAAGGAATTGAAGGCTAGAATAGAACTGAATGGAACTGAATGGAATAGAATGGAATGGAGGGTAATGGAAAGACATCGAAAGGAATGCAATGGAAAGGACTCGAATGGAAAGGACTGGAATGAAATGGACTCGAGTGGAATGGACTGAAATGGAATGGAGACGAATGGATTGGAATGGAATGGAATGGAAAGGATTGGAATGGAATGGAATCTGATGGAATGGAATGGAATGAAGTGGTGTTGAATGGAAAAGAATCATATGGAATGGCATTGAATGGAACGGAATAGAATGGACAGAAATAGAATGGTATCGAATGTAATTTATTTGAATAGAATGCAATCGAATGGAATGCAATACTATGGATTGGAATCGAATGGAATGGAACGGAATAGATAGGACTGAAATAGAACGGACTCGAATGAAATGGATTGCAATGTAACTCATTCAAATGGAATCGAATTGAATGGAATATCATCTTATGAGATGGAATGCAATGCAAAGAAATGGAATAGAAAGCAAAGTAAAGGAAAGGAACGGAGTTGAATCGAGTGTAATGGAATCAAATGGAATGGAATCGAAAGGAAAAGACTGGAATGGAATGGACTCGAATGGAATGCATTTTAACAAAATGGAATTGAAAGTATTGGAATCGAACGGAAAGGAATTTAATGGAAAGGAATTGAATAGAATTGAAAGGAATAGAATGGAATTGAGTGTAATGGAATGATATCGAATGAAATGGAATGGAAGGTAATGGACTCAAATGGAATGGACTGTAAAGGAATGGACTCGAAAGGAATGGACAGAACTGGAAAGGACTCGAATGAAATGGAAATGAATAAAATAATTTTGAATGGAATAGAATAGAATGGAATGGAATCAGATGGAACGGAATGGAATGGAATGGACTTGAAAGGAATGGACTCGAAAGAAATAGAATAGAATGGAATGGAAGGGAAGGAGTTTAATGGAAAGATATCGAATGAATTTAAAGGAATGGAATGGAATCGAATGGAATAGACTGGATTGGAATTTAATGGAATGGACTGGAGTGGAATTTACTCGAATGGAATAGAATGGAGTGGAATGAACTCGAACGAAAAGTAAACAAATGGAATGGAATGGAATGGAGTGGAATGGAATGGAATGGAACGGAAAGGAATAGAATGAAATGGAATCAGGTTGAAAATAATGGAAAGGAATGGAGTCGAATGGAATGGAATCGAATGAAATGGCATCGACTGGAATAGAATGTAATGGGCTCAAATGGAATGGACTCGAATGGAATAGAATGCAATGGAATGACATAGAATGGAATAGAATAGAATGGATTGGAATGGAATGGAATGGACCCAAATGTAATGGACTCGAAAGCAAGGGACTCAAATAGAATGGTCTCAAAGGAATGGTCTCGAATGGAATTTATTAAAATAGAATGGAATCGAATGGAATACAATAGTATGGACTGGAATCGAATGGAATTCAATAAAGTGAAATGGAATGGAATGGAATGGAATGGAGTAAAACGGACCAGAATGTAATGGATTGCAATGTAATTTATTAAAATGGAATGGAATTGAATGAGATTTAATCAAATGTAATGGCATGGAATGCAACGGAATGGAATAAACTGGATTGCAATGGAATTGAACGGAGTGGAATCAAATGCAATGGAACCGAATGGAATGGAATCGATTGGAATTGACTGCTATTTAATGGACTGATAGGGAATGGACTCGAATGGATAGGACTGGAACAACATGGAATCGAATGCATTTGAACTGAATGGAAAGGAAAAAAATGGAATAGAATGGAATGAACTCGAGTAGAATGGAATCGAAAGGAATGGAACTGAATGGAATGAAACTGAATGGAAT
Source organism: Homo sapiens (assembly GCF_000001405.40). NCBI lineage: Eukaryota > Metazoa > Chordata > Mammalia > Primates > Hominidae > Homo > Homo sapiens. Next base: position 11,499,311 of record NC_000024.10, read on the forward strand.
CAAAAGGAACAGAATGGAATGGAGTGTAATGGAAAGGCATTGAATGGAATAGAAAGGAATTTAATGGATTCAAATGGAATGGACAGGAATGAAAAGTGGTCGAATTGAGTGGAATAGATTGGAATGGAATAGAATAGAAAGGAATTGAATGGAATCAAAGGGAATAGAATTGAATGGAGTGTAATGGAAGATATCTAATGGAATGGAATGGAATGGAATGGGCTCAAATGGAAATGTCGGTAATGGAATGGACTCCAGTGGAATGGCCTGGAGGGGAATGGATTAGAATGGAATGGAAGCAAACGGAATGATATGGAATGGAATGGAATGGAATGGAATGGAATGGAACGGAATGGAAAGGAATAGAAAGGAATGGAATAGGTTGCAATAGAATGGAATGGAATGGAGTCCAATGGCATAGAACAGAAAGCAATGGCGTCGAAAGGAATGGAATGGAGTGGAATCGAATGGAACCGACTGGAGTGGAATTGACTCGAATGGAATGGAAACGAGTGGAATGGAAGGTACTGGAATTGAAAGGAATAGAATGGAATCGGATGGAACTTAATGGAATGCAATGGAGTCGAAAGGAATAAAATCGAAAGGAATGGCATCAAACGGAATGGAATTGAATGGAATGAACTCGAATGGAACTTATTCAAATGGAATGGAATAGAATAGAATGAAATGACTTCGAATGGAAAAGAATGGAATCTAATGGACCCAAATGAAATGGACTCGAATGGAATGGACTCAAATATATTGGACTTAAAAGGAATGGTCTCGAATGGAATTTTTTCGAATAGAATGGAATTGAAAGGAATGAAATAATATGAAATGGAATCGAAAGGAATGGAATCAAGTGGAATGGACCGGAATGGAATGGACTGGAACGGAACGGACTCGAATGTAATGGAATGCAATGTAATTGATTCGAATCGAATGGAACGTAAAGAAATGGAATGGAAAGGAATGCAAAGGAATGTAATAGAATGGAATGAAATGGAATGGATTTTAATGGACCCAAATGTGATGGACTCGAAAGGAACGTACGCAAATATAATACACTCATAAGGAATGGTTTCGCATGGTATCTATTAGAATTGAATCGAATCGAAAGGAATGCAATAGTATGGAAAGGAATCGAATGGAATGTGATAAAATGTAATAGACCGGAATGGAATGGACTGCAATAGAATGGACTGTATTGCAACGTAATTGATAAAAATGGAATGGAATCAAATGGAATGAAATCTAACGGTATGTAATGGAATGCAATTGAGCGGAATAGAATGGAATGCAATGTAATGGAATGGAGTGGATTCAAGTGGAATGGAATCACATGGAATGGAATCGAATGAAATGGAATTGGATGGAATGGACTGGAATGGAATGGACTCCAATGGAAAAGACTGGAACAAATGGAATAGAAGGAATTGGAATCGAATGGAAAGGAATGAAATGGAATGGAATGAACTCTATTGGAATGGAGTTCAATGGAATTATACCGAATTTAATGGAATAGAATGGAATGGAATTGAATGTAATCAAAAGGAATATAATTGAATGGAGAGTAATGGATAGATATTGAATGGAAAGGAATGGAATGGAATGTGCTCGAATGGGATGGATTGAAATTGAATGGATTCGAATGTAATGCAATGGAGTGGAACAGTCAGAAATGGAATGGGAAAGAAGGGAATTGAATGGAATGGAAAGGAATAGAATGGAATTAACTCGGATGGAACAAAATGGAATAGAATGGAGTCGTATGGAATGGAATAGAATGGAACAGCATCAAATGGAATGGAGTGGAATGGAATGGACCCAAATGTACAGGATTCAAATGAAGTGGAATCAAATAGAATGGACTTGAAAGAAATGGTATCGAATGGAATTTGTCCGAATAAAATGAAATCGAATTTAATGCAAAAATATCGAATGGAATGAAATGGAATTGAATGGAGTGAACTGGAATAGAATGGACTCAAAGGTAATGGATTTTAATGTAATTGATTCGAATGGAATGGAATCGAATGGAACTTAATCAAATGGAATGGAATGGAATGCAATGGAAAGTAGTAGAATGGAATGCAAAGGAAAGGAACAGTGTGGCATCGAGTGGAATGGAATCGAATGGAAAGGAATCGAACGGAATGGAATCGAACAGACTGGAGTGGAATGGAATGGACTCGCACTGGAAGAAAATGCAATGGAACGGATTTGAATCGAACAGAAAGGAATGGAATGGAACGGAATGGAATGGAATGGAATGGACTTCAACGGAATGGATATGAATGGAACGGAACCGATTGGAATGGAACCGAATAGAATGGAATTGAAAGGATTCAAAAGGAAGAGAATGGAATAGAGTGTAATGGAAAGATATTGAATGGAATGGAATGGAATGGACTCAAATGAATTGGACAGGAGTGGAATGTACGCTAATGCAAGGGACTGGAGTGGATTGGACACGAATGAATTGGAAACGAATGGAATTGAACGAAAAGGAATGCAATTGCATCCATAGGAATAGAATGGAATGGAATCGGATGGAACGGAATGGAATGGAATGCAGTAGAATGGAATAGAATACCATGCAATGGTTTCAAAAGGAATAGAATGAAATGGGACTGGATTCAAATGCAATGGACTCGAAAGGAATAGAACACAATGGACTGGTTTAGAATGGAATGCATTGAAATGGAAAATAATGGAATGGATTCGATTCAAATGCAATGGACTCAAATGGAATAGAATCGAATGGAATGGCATCGAATGGCATGGAATCGAATGGAATGGATTGGATTGAAATGCAATGGACTTGAATGGAATGGAATAGAATTGAATATACTGGCATGAAATGCAAAGGAATGGAATGGAATGGAAAGGAAAGAACGGAATGGAATGGACACAAATGTAATGTATTGAAATGTAATGGACTCAAATAGAATGGACTCCAAAAGGATTGGTCTCGAATGGAATTTATTCCAATAGAATGGAATCTAATGGAATGCAATACTACGGAATGGAATCAAATGGAATGGAATTGAATGAAATGTAATCAATCTGAATGGATTGGAATGCAAAGGAATGGAATTCAGTGGAATGCAAAAGAAAAGAAAGGAGTGGAATTGAGTGCAATGGAGTCGAATGGAATGGTATTAAATGGAATGAAATCGAATGGAATTGACTGGAATGTAATGGACTCGAATGGATTAAACAGGAAAAAAATGGTGTCGAACAGATTGGAATCTAATGGAATGGAATGGAACGAAATGGAATGGAATGGAATGGAATAGACTCAAAAGGAATGGAGTCGAATTTAATGGAGTCAAATGGAATGAAATCGAATGGAATGGACTGGAATGGAATTGAAAGTATAGAATGGAATAGAGTGTAATGGAAAGAAATCGAATGGAATGGAATGGAATGGACTCGAATAGAATGTATCGGAATTAAATGGACTTGAATGTCATGGACTGGAGTTGAATGGACTCGAATGCAATGGAAACGAATGGAATGGAATGGAGTAGTGTTCAAAGGAGTAGAACGGAAAGGAATAGAATGGAAGGGAAGCGGATGGAATGGAATTAAATGGAATCAAAAGGAATAGAAAGGAAAGGAGTGTAACAGAAACATATCAAATGGAATGGAATGGACTCGAAAGGAATGGACTGCAATGGAATGGACTCGAATGGAAGGGACTGGAGTAGAATGGCCCCGAGTGGAATGGAGACGAATTGAATGAAATGGAATGGAAAGGAATGGAATGGAATGGAATGAAGTGTAATGGAAAGAATTAGAATGGAATGGAATCGGATGGAACGGAATGGAATGGAATGGAGTCGAATGGAATAGAATCGAATGCAATGGCATCAAATGGAATTGAATGGACTCAAAGGGAATAGAATTGAATGGAGTGACATGGAATGAAATGGATTGTAATGGAATGGACACTAATGTAATGGGATGTAATGGAATGGACTCAAATAGAATGACCCCAAAAGAAATGGTCTCGAAAGTAATTTATATGAATAGAATGGAATAGAATAGAATGCAATAGCATAGAATGGAAAGGAATGTAATGGAGGAGAATGTAATGGACCGGAATGGAATGTACTGGAATAGAACGGACTCGAAAGTAATGCATTGCAATGTAATTGATTTGAATGAAATGGAATCGAATGGAATGTAAACAATTGGAATGGAGTGGAAGGCAATGGGATCGAATAGAATGTAATGCAATGGAATGGAACGAAGTGGAATCGAATGGAATGGAATCGAATGGAATGTAATAGAATGGAATGGACTGGAAATTAATGATGTGGAATGGAATGGACTGGAGAGGAATGGACTCGAATTGAATGGAAACGAATGGAATGACATGGAATGGAATGGAATGCAATGGAAAGTAAAGGAATAGCATGGAATGGAATTGGATGGAACGGAATGGAATAGAATGCAGTCGATTGGAATAGAATCCAATGGAATGTGTTTGAATGGAATGGAATTTAATGGAATAGAACGCATTCGAATGGAATGGACTAGAATGGAACAGAATATACTGGAATGGCATCGAATGGAATGGAATGGAATGGAACGGAATAGAAACAAATGTAATGTTCTCAAATGCAATGGAATCAAATAGAATGAACTTGAAAGGAATGGACTCGAATGGAATTTATTCGAATAGAATGGAATTGAATGCAATGCAATAGTATGGAATGAAATAGAATGGAATGGAGTTGAATGTAATGGACCGGAATTGAATGGACTGGAATAGAATGGACTAGAAGGTAATGTACTCCAATGTAATTGATTCAAACTGAATGGAATCAAATGGAATGTAATCAAAAGGAATGGAATTGAATGCAATTGAATGGAACAGAATGAAATGCAAAGGAATGGAAACGAGTAGAATCGAGTGGAATGGAATCGAGTGGCATGAAATTGAAAGGAATGGAATCGATTGGAATGGATTGGACAGTTGTGGACTCCAATGGATAGGAATTGAACAAAATGGAATCGAACAGATTTGATTCAAACATAACGGAATGGTATTGCATGGAATGCACTATAATGGAATGGAGTCGAATGGAATGCAGTCGAATGGAATGGAATGATATACAACGGAATTGAATGGAATCGAAAGGAATACAATGGAATGGAGTGTATGGAAAGAAATCGAAAAGAATGGATACGAATGTAATGGACTGTTGTTGAATGGACTCGAATGGAATGGAAACGAATGGAATGTAATGGAAAGGAGTGGAATGGAATGGAATGGAATGGAATAGAAAAGAATGGAATGTAATGGAAAGGAGTGGAATGGAATGAAAAGGAAATCAATATAATAGAATGTAATTATATGGAACAGAATAGAATTAAAAGGATTGGAATGGAATACAATCAAATGGGATGGGATCAAATGAAATGGAATGGAATTTAATGGAATGGACCCAAATGTAATGGACTCGAATGGAATTGACTCAAATAGAATGGACTCGAAAGGAATGGTCTTGAATGGGGTTTATACAAATAGAATGGAATCGAATGGAATGGAATAGAATGGAATTGAATGGAATGGAATGGAGTCGCTGGGAATGGACCGGAATGGAATGGACTGGAAAATAACGGACACGAATGCAATGGATTGCAAGGTAACTGATTCGAATGGAATGGAATCGAACGCAATGTAATCAAATGGAATGGAATGGAATGCAGCGGAATGAAAGCAAATGGAAGGCATTTGAATGGAACGGAGTTAAATCGAGTGGAATGGATTCTAATGGAACGGAATCATATGGAATGGAATGTAATGGAATGGAATAGAATGGACCTAAAGGTAATAGACTCTAATACAATGTACTCGAAAAGAATGGCAGCGAATGGAATTTATTCGAATACAATGGAATTGAATAAAATGCAATAGTATGGAATGGAATAGAATGGAATGGAATTGATTGCAATCGAAAGAAATAGAATGGAATGCAGTGTAATGGAAAGATATTGAATGGAATGTAATGGAATGGACTCAAATGGACAGGACGTTAATGGAATGGTTTTGAATGGAATGGACTAGTGTGGAATGGATTCGAATGGAAAGTAAAAGAATAGAAAGGAAATGAATGGAATGGAATGGAAAGGAATACAATGGAAAGGAATTAGATGGAATGGAATGGAATGGAATGGAGTCGAATGGAAGAGAATAGAATGGAGTGGCATTGAATAGAATGGAGTGGAAGGGAATAGAATGGTTATGAAAGGGATGGATTCGAATGGAATAGAATCGAATGGAATGGCATGGAATGGAATGGAATGCAATGGAATGGAATGGAATTCAATGGAATGGAATGGAAAGGACCCAAATATATTGGACTCAAATGGAATGCACTCAAATAGAATTGATTCAAAAGGAATGGTTTCAAATGAATTTATTCTATTAGAATGTAATCGAACGGAATACAATAGAATGGAATGGAATCGAAGATAATGGAATAGAATTGAATGGAATGGAATGGAAGGGACTGTAATAGAACGGACTCGAATGTAATGGATTCCAAAGTAATTGCTTTGAATGGAATGGAATTGAATGGAATATAATAAAATGTAATGGAATGGAAGGCAATAGAATGGAATAGAGTGGAATGCAGTGGAATGGAAAGGAGTGGAATCGAGTGTAATGAAATCAAAAGGAATGGAATCGGATGGAATGGAATTGATTGGAATGGACTGGAATGTAATGGACTCGAATGGTTTTGACTAGAAAAAAATCAAATCGTACAGACTGGAATTGAACAGAAGGGAATGGAATGGAATAGAATTGAATGGAATTGAGTTGAATGTAATGTAGTCGAATGGAATGGAATCGAATGGAATGGAATATAATGGAATTCAATGACATAGAAAGGAATATAATGGAATGGAGGGTAATGGAAATAAATCGAATGGAATGGAATGCAATGGACTCGGATGGAATATACTGGAATGGAATGGACTCGAATGGTATGGACTGGAGTGCAATGGACTAGAATGGAATGCAAACGAAAGGAATGGAATGGAATGGAATGGAATGGAATGGAATGGAATGGAATTTAATGGAATGGAAACAATCGAATGGAATGGAATCGGTTGGAATGGAATGTAATTGAATGGAGTCAAATGTAATAGAATCATTTGGAATGGCCTCGAATGGAATGGAATGTAATATAGTGGACTGAAACGGAATGGACTCGAATGGAATGGATTGATATAGAATGGAAACAAAAGGATGGACTTGAATAGAATTTATTCGAATAGAATGGAGTTGAATGGAATGCAATAGTATGGTACGTAATCGAATGAAATAGAATCGAATGGAATTGAGAGGAATGGAATGGCCTGGAAAAGTACAGACCCGAATGCAATGTATTGCAAAGTAATTTATTCAAAAGGAATTTAGTCGAATGGAACATAATCAACGAAATGGAATGGAATAAAATGGAATGGAATAGAATGGAATGCAATGGAATTGAACAGAGTGGAATTGATTGGAATGGGAACGAATGGAATGGAATCGAATAGATTGGGCTTGAATGGAATGGACTGTAATGCAATAGACTGGAAAAAACCGGAATTGAACGGATTGGAATCAAAGGCAAAGGAAAGGAATTGAATGGAATGGAATGGAATGGATTCAAATACAGTGGAATCAAATGGAATGGAATTGATTGGAATCAAAAGGAAAATAATTGAATAGAGTGTAATGGAAATATATCGAATGGAATGGAATGGAAAGGAATGGTCTCGAATGGAATGGACTGCAATGGAACGGATTCGAATGAAATAGAGTGGAGTGGAATGGACTCGAAAGAAAGGAAATAAATGGAATGTAAAGGAAAGGAATAGAATGGAATGGAAACCGGATGGAGCGGAAAGGAATGGAATGGAAAGGAATCAGATGGAACAGAATGGAATGGAATGGAATGGAATTCAATCTAGACAAACGGAATAAAATCAAATGGAATGACATCGAATTTAATGGAATGGAATAGAATGGACCCAAATTTAATGGAGTCAAATGGAATGGACACAAATAGAATGGATATGAAAAGAATGGTCTCGAATGTAATTAATATGAATAGACGGGAATAGGATGGAATGCAATAGTATGGAAAGGAATCGAATGGAATGGAAACGAATGGAATGGACCGGAATGGAATGGAATGGAATAGAACGGACTCGATTGTTACATATTGCAATGTAACGGATTCAAATGGAATCGAAAGGAATATAATCAAAAGTAATGGAATGGAATGCAATGCAATGGAATTGAAAGAAATGAAATGGAATGGAACAGAGTGGAATTAAGTTGAATGGAATCGAATGGAATGGAATCGAGTGGAATGGAACCGAGTGGAATGGAGTTGAATGGAATGGACTGGAATAAATTGGAATAGAATGGATTGGAAACGAACGGAACGAAATTGAATGGAAACGAATGGAATGGAATGGACTCGAATGGAATGGGGTCGAATGGAATGCAATTGAATGGATTGGAATTAAATGGAATTGAATCGAATGAAATGGAATTGAAAGGAATCGAAAGTTATAGAATAGAATGAGGTGCAATGGAAGGAACTGGAATTGAATGGAATGGAATGGAATGGAAACGAATGGAATGGAATGGACTCGAATGGCATAGACTGGAAAGGAATGAACTCGAATCAAATGGAGTCGAAAGGAATGGAATCGAATGTAATGAAATTGAAAGGAATGAAATTGAAAGGAATTAAAGGAATAGAAAGGAATGGAGTGAAAAAGAAATATATCATATGGAATGGAATGGAATGGACTGGAATTGAATGGACTTGAATGGAATGGACTGGAGTGGAATGGACTCGAATGAAATGGACTGGAGTGGAATGTACTAGAATCGAATTGAAATGAAGGAATGGAATGGAATGGAATGGAATACTATGAAATGGAACCTTATAGAACAGAAAGGAATGGAATGCAGACGCATGGAATAGAATCTAATGGAAAGGCATAGGATGGAAAGACTAGAATGGAATGGACTCAAATGAAATGGATTCGAACAGAATATAATTGAATGGAATGGCATCGAGTGGAATGGAATGGAATGGGATGGAAGGGAAAGGAACCAAATGTAATGGAGTCTAATGGAATGTACTTAAATAGAATGAACATGAAGGGAATGGTTTCGAACAGATTTTATTCGAATAGAATGGAATCGAATGTAATGTAATATTATGGAATGTAATAGAATGGAATGGAATCGAATAGAATAGAATGGAATGGACTGGAATGGAATTGAACGGACTCTCATGGATTGCAATGTAATAGTTTCGAATGAAATGGAATCAAATGGAATGTAATCAAATGGAATGGAATGGAATGCAATGGAATGGAATAGAATGCAATGCAATGGAATGAAACAGAGTAGAATAGTGTGGAATGGAATCGAATGGAATGGAATCGAATGGAATGGACTGGAATGGAAAGGAATCCAATGGAATGGACTGCAACAAAATGGAACTGAACAGATTGGAATCGAACTGAATGGAATGAAATAGAATAGAATGGAATGGACTCTAATGGGATGGAGTCGAATGGAACCAAATCAAATGGAATGGAGTGGAATGGAGTGGACACGCATGGAATGCACTGGAACAAAATGGAATGGAACGGATTGGAATCGAACAGAAAGGAATGGAATGGAATGGAATGGAATGGAATGGAATGGAATGGAATGGAATGAAATGGAATGGAAAGGACTTGAAAGTAATGGAGTTGAATGGAATGTAACCGATTGGAATGGAATCGAATGTAATGGAATTGAGTGGATTCAAAAGGAATAGAATGGAATGGAGTGTAGTGGAAAGATATTGAATGGAATGGAATGGAATCAAATGGATTGGACAAGAGTGGAATGGACGCGAATGGAAAGGAATGGAGTGGAATGGACACGAATGAATTGGAAACGAATGGAATTGAATGAATAGGAATGAAATTGCATGCAAAGGAAAAGAATGGAACGGAAACGGATGGAACGGAATGGAATGGAATGCAGTAGAATGCAATTGAATACAATGGAATGGTTTCGCATGGGATGGAATGAAATGGAATGGAATGGAATGGATTGGATTCCAATGCAATAGACTCGAATGGGATAAAATAAAATGGAATGGTTTCGAATGGAAGGGAATGGAATGGATTGGATTGAAATGCAATGGACTCAAATTGAATAGAATCGAATACATCAAATGGCATGGAATTGAATGGAATGGATTGGATTGAAATGCAACGTACTCAAATGGAATAGAATCGAATTTAATGGCATGAAATGCAATGGAATGGGATGGAATGTAAAGGAATGGAATGGAATGGACTGGACACACATGTGATGTACTCAAATAGAATGGACTCCAAAAGGATTGGTCTCGAATGGAATTTATTCGAATGGAATGGAATCTAATGGAATGCAACACTATGGAATGGAATCAAATGGAATGGAATTAAATGGAAAGTAATCACACGGAATAGATTGTAATGCAATGGAATGGAAGTCCATGGAATGCAAAGGAAAGGAATGGAGTGGAAATGAGTGGAATGGAATTGAATGGAATAGAATCAAATGGAATGCAATCGAGTGGAATTGACCGGAATGTAATGGACTCGAATGGATTAGACAGGGAAAAAACGGAGTAGAACAGAATGGAATAGAGTGGAATGGAATGGAATGGAATGGAATACACTGGATCCAATTTAATAGACTCAAAGAGAATGGAATCGAAAGGAAAGGTAGCGAATGGAATTTATTCAAATACAATGGAATTGAATAAAATGCAATAGTATGGAATGGAATCGAATGGAATGAAATTGAAGGGAATCGAAAAGAATAGAATGGAATGCAGTATAATGGAAAGACATCGAATGGAATGGAATGTAATTGACTCAAATGGTCAGGAGTTGATTGGAATGGTCTTGAAGGGAATGGACTGGAGTGGAATGGACTCGAATGCAAAGTAAACGAAAGGAAAGGAATTGAATGGAATTAATGGAAAGGAATAGAATGGAACGGAATTGGATGGAATGGAATGGAGTCGAATGGAATAGAATAGAATGGAATGGCATTGAATTGAATGGAGTGGAATGGAGTGGAGTGGAAACAAATGGGATGGATTCGTATGGAATAGAATCGAATGGAATAGCATCGAATGGAATGGAATGGAATGGTATGGAATGGATTGGAATGGAAAGGACCCAAATATATTGGACTCAAATGGAATGCACTCAAATAGAATGGACTCAAAAGGAAGGGTTTCGAATGTATTTATTCAATTAGAATGTAATCAAATGGAAGGTAATAGAATGGATTGCAATCTAAAATAATGGAATCAAATTGAATGTACCAGAATGGAATGGATTGGTATACAACGGACTCGAATGTTATGGGTTCCAATGAAATTGATTCGAATGGAATGGAATTGAATGGAATATAATCAAATGTAATGGAATGGAAGGCAATGGAATGGAATAGAATGGAAAGCAGTGTAATGAAATGGAGTGCAATCGAGTTCAGTGGAATCAAAAGGAATGGAATCGAATGCAATGCACTGGAATGGAAAGGAATCAAATGGAATGGACTGCAACAAAATGGAATTGAACAGATTGGAATCGAACTGAATGGAATGAAATAGAATGGAATGGAATGGAGTCGAACTGTATGGGGTCGAATGGAATGGAATCGAATGGAATAGAATCGAATGGAATCGGATTGAGTGGAATGGAAGGGAGTGGAATGGAATGAAATCAAATGGAATGGATTCAAATGGAATAGAGTCGAGTAGAACGGCATCAAATGGAATGGAATGGAATATAATGGAATGGAAAGGAATGGAATGGAATGGACCCAAATGTAATGGACTCAAACGGAACGGACTCAAATACAATGGACTTGAAAAAAAAGGGTTTCGAATGGATTTTATTCGTAACAAATGGAATCGAAAGTATTGTAATAGGATCGAAAAGAATTGAATGGAATGGAATCGAATGGAATGTACCAGAATGGAATGGAGAGGAAAAGAATGGGCAAGAATATAATGGATTGCAATGAAATTGATTCGAATGGAATTAAATCGAATGGAATGTAATCAAATGGAATGGAATTCAATGCAATTGAATGGAATAGAATGGAATGCAATGGAATGGAATTCAGTGGAATCGAGTGGAATGGAATCAAATGGAAAGGAATAGAATGGAATGGACTCGAATGGAATGGACTTGAAGTAAATGGAATCGTAAGGATTGGAATCAAATGGAACAGAACGGAATGGAATTGAATGGAGTGGACTCGAATGGGATGTACTCGAATGGAATGGAATCGAATGGAATGCAACTGAATGGAACCGAATATAATGGAATTGAATGGAGTGTAATGGAATGATATAGAATGGAATGGAATGGAATGGAATCGAATGGACACGAATGGAATGGACTGGTCTGGAAGGGACTGGGAAGGAATGCATTGTAGTGGAAAGAACTCAAATGGAATGGAAACGAATGTGAAGGAAGGGAATGGAATTGAATGGCAACAAAAGGAAAGGAATGGAATTGAATCGGATGGAATGGAATGGAAGGGAATGGAGTTGAGCGGAATAGAATCTAATGGAATGGCATCGAATGGAATGGAATGGACTAGAATGGAACACACTCAGGTTGAATAGAATCAAAAGGAATGGCATCGAATGGATTGGAATGGAATGGAATGGAATGGACCCAAAAGTAATGAACTCGAAAGCAATGGATTCAAATAGAATGGACTCGAAAGAATTGATCTCGAATGGAATATATTCGAATAGAATCTAAAAGAATGGGAAGCAATAGTATGGATTGCAATAGAAAGGAATGGAATTGAACAGAATATAGCGCAATGGAATGAACTGGAAAAAATGGAATCGAACAGATTGAAATCGAACTGAACAGAATGGAAGGGAATGGAATTGAGTGGAATGGAATGTAATGGAATGGTCTCAAATGGAATGGACTGGAGTGGAATGGAGACGAATGGAATGGAAACGAATGGAATGGAAAGGGATGGAATGGAATGCAAAGGAATATAATGGAATTGTTTCAGATGGAATGTAATAGAATGGCTTTGAATGGAATAGATTCAAATGGAATGGCATTGAATGGAATCGAATGGAATGGATTGGAATGGAATGGAATGAAATGGACCCAAAAGTACTAGGCTGTAATGGAAAGGACTCAAATAGAATGGACTCAAAAGGAATGGTCTTCAAAGGAATTTATGGGAACAGAATGTAATCGAATGGACTGCAATAGTATGGAACGTAATAGAATGGAGCGGAATAGAATGGAATGAAATGGAATACAATGGAATGGAATAGAAAGGACATGAATATACTGGATTACAATGCAATTGATTGGAATGGAATGGAATCAAATGTAATGTAATCAAATGGAAAGGAAGGGTATGCAATGGAATGCAATAGAATGGAATGCATTGGAATGAAACGCAGTGGAATCAAGTGGAATGGAATCGAATGGAATGGAATCAAATGGAATGGAATCAAATGGAGTGGAAACGAATGGAATGGAATTGAACAGAATGGAATCGAATAGAAAGGACACGAATGAAATGGACAGGAAAAAAACTGGAACCGATCGGAATGGAGTAGAACAGAATTGAATGGAATGGACTCGAATCAAATCGAGTATAATGCAATGGAAAGTAATGCGATGGAATCGACTGGAAATGAATTGAATGGAAATGAAAGGAAAAGAATGGAATGGATTTTAATGGAAATATATCGAATAGGATAGAATGGAATGAAATGGACCCTAAAGGAAAGGGCTGGAATGGATTGGATGCGAATGGAATGTACTGGAGTTAAATGGACTCTAATGGAATGGAAACGAATGGAATAGAATGGAAAGACATATAATGAAATGGAATCAGATATAATGGAATGGAATAGAATGGTGTCAAATGGAATAAAAACGAAAGGAATGGCCTCAAATGGAATGGAATCCAATTGAATGGAATGGAATCGAATAGAATGTAAACGAATGGAATGGAATTGAATAGAATGAAATGGAATGGAAAGGACAAGAATGAAATGGATGGGAACGAAATGGAAGAGAACGGACTGGAGTAGAACGGAAAGGAATGGAATGGAATGGAATGGAATAGAATGTAATGGAATGGACTCGAATCAAATGGAGTCTAAAGGAATGGAAAGTAATGCAATGGAATCCAATTGAAATGAATTGAATGTAATTGAAAGAAATAGAATGGAATGGAGTGTAAAGGAAATATATGGAATGGGATAGAATGGAATGAAATGGACCCTAAAGGAATGGGCTGCAATGGAATGGATGCGAATGGAATGGACTGGAGTGAAATGGACTCTAAAGGAATGAAAACTAATGGAATGGAATGGAAAGGCATAGAATGGAATGAAATCAGATGGAATGGAATGGAATGGAATGGAATGGAATGGAATGGAATGGAATGGAATGGTGTCAAATGGAATAGAATTGAATGGAATGGCATCAAATGGAATGCAATGGAATGGAATGGAATGGAATGGCCCAAAATATAATTTACTAGAAACGAATGGACTCAAAAGAATGGAGTTAAAAGTCATGGTCTCGAATGGAAGTTATTCGAATACAATGTAACTGAAAGGAATGCAATAATATGCAATGGAATCAAATAAAATGTAATTGAATGGAATGTACCAGAATGGAATGGACTGGAATAGAACGGACTCGAACGTCATGGATTGCAATGTAATTGATTCAAATGGATTGGAATCGAATGGAATGGAATCGTATGGAATGGAATTGAATGGAATGGACCGGAAAGAAAAGGACAGGAATAGAATGGAAATGAATGTAATGCATTGCAATGAAATTGATTCGAATTGAATGGAATTGAACGGAATATAAACCAACGGAATGGAATGGAATGGAATGCAATGGAATGGAATGGAATGGAATGCAATTAAATGGAATGGAATAGAAAGGAATCGATTGGAATGGAATCTAATTGAATGGAATTGAATAGATTGGAATTGAATAAAATGTATTGGGAAGGAATGGACTCGAATCGAATGGATTGGAACAAAACGGAATCGAACGATTGGAATTGAATGGAACGGAAAGGAATGGAATCGAATCGAATGGAATGGAGTCGAATGGAATGGAATCAATTGGAATGGAAACGAATGGAATGGAGTAGAACGGAACCAAAAGGAATAGATTGGAAAGGATTGTAATGAAATGTTATCAAATAGAATGGAGTGGAATGGAATGGAATCACATGGAATCGACTGGAATAGAATGGACACGAATGGAATGTACTGCAGTGGAATGGACTTGAAAGAATGGAAACAAAAGGAATGGAATGGAATGGTATGCAAAGGAATTGAATGGAAAGGAATCTAATTGAGTGGAATCGAACCAAACGGAATGGAGTGAAATGGACTCGAATGGAATGGAGTTAATTGGAATGGAATTGAATGGAATGTAATTGAATGGGTTGGAATTGAATGGAATCAAAAGGAATAGATTGGAATTCAGTGTAATTGAAAGATATCGAATGGAACGGAATGGAATGGAATGGACTCACATGGCATGGACTGGAATGGAAAGAACTCGAACGGAATGGAGTCGAAAGCTATGGAATTGAATAGAATAGCATTGGAAGAAATGGAATTGAAAGGAATTAAAGGAATTGAATGGTATGGAGTGTAATGGAACGAAATCAAATGGAATGAAATGGAATGAAATGGACTCGAATGGAATTGACAGGAAAAGAATGGAATCAAAAGTTATATACGTGAGTGGAATGGACTCGAATGAAATGAACTGGAGTGGAATGGACTAGAATTTAATGGAAACGAAAGGAATGGAATGGAATGGAATGGAAATGAATGCAATAGAATGGAATGGAATCTGATAGAATGGAAAGGAATGGAATGCAGTCGTATGGAATAGAATCTAATAGACTGACATAAAATGGAAAAATGGAATGGAATTGAATGGAATGGAATGGATTCGAATTGAATGGCCTGGAACGGAATGTAATAGAATGGAATGGCATCGAACAGAATGGAATGGAATGATATGGAAGGGAATGGAACCAAATGTAATGGAATCGAATGGAATAGACTTAAATAGAATGGACTCTAAAGGAATTGTTTCAAATGCAATTTATTCGAATAGAATGAAATAGAATGTAATGCAATAGTATGGAATAGAATTGAATGGAATAGAATCGAATGGAATGAACAGGAATGGAATAGACTGGAATAGAACAGACCCTCATGTAATGGATTGCAATGTAATTGATTCGAATGGAATGGAATCTAATGGAATGGAATCAAACGGAAAAGAGTGGAATGCAATGTAATGGAATAGAATGGAATGCACTGCAATGGAATGGAACAAAATGGAATGGACTGGAACAAAATGGAATCAAAAAGACTGGAATCGAACTGAATGGAAAGAAATGTAATGGAGTGGAATGGACTTGCATGGAATGGAGTTGAATGGAATGGAATCGAATGCAATGGAATTCAAAGGAATTGAAGAGAATGAAATGGATTTGAATGGAATGGAATGGAATAGAATAGAATGGAGTGTAATGGAAATATATCGAATGGAATGAAATGAAATGGATTGGACTCGAATGGAATGGACTGAAATGGAATGAAATTGAATGGAAAGGAGTGGAGTGGGGTGGACTCGAATGGAAAGGAAACGAATGGAATGGAATGGATTGGAGCGTAATGGAAAGGAATAGAATGGAATGGAATTCGATGGAATGGAATCGAATGGAGTGTAATGGCAAAGAATCTTATGGGATGGCATTGAATGGAATGGAAAGGTATGGAATGGAATGGACTGAAAGGAATTGATTCTAGTGGAATGGAATCGAATGGAATTGCATCGAATGCAATGGAATGGAATGGAAACGGATGGACAAAATATAATGGACTCGAAGGGAATCGACTCAAATAGAATGGACTCGAAAAAAATAATCTCGAATGGATTTTCTTCATATAGGCTGGAATCGAATGTATTGCAATAGTATCGAAAGGAATTGAATGGAATGGAATCTAATGGAATGTACCAGAATTGAATAGAGTGGAATAGAACGGACATGAATGTAATAGATTGCAATGAAATTGATTCGAATTGAATTGAATCAAATGGGATGAAATCAAAAGGAATGGAGTGGAATGCAATGGAATAGAATAGAAACGAATGCAGTGGAAAGAACGGAATGGAATCGATTGGAATGGACTGGATTGGAATGGACTCGAATGAAATGGAATGGAAAAATAATGGAATCGTATGGATTTGAATTCAACGGAACGGAACGGAACGGAACGGAATGGAATGGAATGGATTCGAATGGAAAATAGTCAAATGGAAAGGAATTGAATGGAATGGAATCGAATGGAATGCAACTGAATGGAATAGAAATGAATACAATGGAATAGAGTGTAATGGAAAGATATAGAGTGTAATGGAATGGAATAGAATGGACTGGAATGGAATGGACGGGAATTCAATGGACTTGAATGGAATTCACTGAAGGGGAATGTACTCGAATGGAATGGAAACCAATGGGATGGAATGGAATGGAATTGAAAGGAAAGGAATACAATGTAATGGAAGCTGAAGGAATGGAATGGAATGGAATGGAGTGGAATGGAATAAAATCGAATGTAATGGCAAATAACGGAATATAATGGAATGGAAAGGATGTGAATGGAATTGACTCGAGTGTTAACGAATCGAACGGAATGGCATAAAATGGAATGTAATATCATGGAATGTAATGGAATGGAATATACCCAAATGAAAAGGATTCAAATGCAATGGATTCAAATAGAATTGACTCGAAAGAAATGGTCTCAAATGGAATTTATTCGAATAGAACAGAAAAGAATGGGATAAAATAGTATGGAATGCAATCCAATGGAATGGAATCGAACGGATGGTAGAGCGATGGAATGGACTGGAACAAATAGGAATCAAAAGGATTGGAATCAAACTGAATGGAACAGAAGGGAATGGAATGGAGTGGAATGGAATGGAATGTATTTGAATGGAATGGACTGGAGTGGAATGGACTCGAATGGAACGTTAACGAATGGGAAGGAATGGAATGGAATGGAATGGGATGTAATAGAAAGGAATATAAAGGAATGGAATCAATTGGAATGGAAAGGAGTAGAATGGAATAAAATCGAATGGAATGGCATCAAATGGAATGGAATGGATTCGAATGGAATGGAATGAAATGAACCCAAATGTACTGAGCTCTAATGGAATTGATTCATATGGAATGGACTCAAAAGGAAAGGTCTTGAAAGGAATTTATTCGAATAGAAATCGAATGGACTGCAATAATATGGAATGTAATTGAAAGGAAATGAATGGAATGGATTGGAATGGAATGGAATGGAATAGAATGAACTCGAATGTACTGGATTGGAATGCAATTGATTTGAATGGAATGGAATTCAAAGTAATGTAATCAAATGGAATGGAATGGTATGCAAAAAATGCAATAGAATGGAATGCAATGCAATGGAACGGAGTGGAATCGAGTGAAATGAAATCGAATGGAATGGAATCAAATTCAACAGAATCAAATGGAATGGAAGCGAATGAAATGGAATTGAATGAAATAGAATGGAATGGAAATGACACGAATGAAATGGAAAGGAACAAAATGGAATACAACGGATTGGAGTAGAACGGAATGGAATGGAATGGAAAGGAACGGAATTGAAAGGAATAGAACCGACTCAAAAGGAATGGAGTCGAATGTAATGGAAACTAATGCAATGGTATTGAAAGGAATGGAATTGAATGGAATTGAAACGAATGCAATGGAATGGAGTGTAATTGAAACATATCGAATGGAATTGAATGGAAAGGAATGGACTGGAATGGAATGGATTCCAATGTAATGGACTGGAGTGAAATGTACTCTAATGGAATGGAAACCAAGGGAATGAATTAGAATGGAAAGGAAAGGCATAGAATGAAATGGAATTGCATATAACGGAATGGAATGAAATGGAGTTGAATAGAATCAAATTCATTGGAATGACATCGAATAGAATGGAATGGAATGGAATGGAATGGAATGGAATGGAATGGAATGGAATAGTCTCGAATGAAATGGAATAGAATGGAATAGAATAGAATGTAAAGGAAAGAATGGAATGGAATGGAATGGACCCAAATGTAATGGGCTCAAATGGAATGGACTCAAATAGAATGGACTTGAAAGGAATGGTGTCGAATGGAATTTAATCGAATGGAATGGAAACGAATGCAATCGACCTGAACGGAATGGACTGGAATAGATAGGACTTGAACATAATGGACTGCTGCATACTAGATTCGAATGGAATGGAATCGAATGGAATGAAATCAAAAGTAGTGAAATGGAAAGCAATGGAATGGAATATAATGGAATGCAATGTAGTGGAACTGAGTGGAATTGAGTGGAATGGAATAGAACGGAATATAATCGAATGGAAAGGAATCAACTGGAGTGAACTGGAATTGAATGTACTCGAATGGAACGGACTGGAACAAAATGGAATAGAACGGATTGGAATAGAATGGAACGGAATGGAATGGAATGGAATGGACTCGAGTGGAAAAAAGTCGAATGGAATGGAATAGAATGGAATGGAATCAAATGGAATATTATTTAATGGAATCGAAAGGAATAGAATGGAATGGAATCTAATGGAATGATATCGAATGGAATGGAATGGAATGGACTCAAATGGAATGGACTACAATGGAATGAACTCAAATGGATTAGAATGGAGTGGAATGGATTCGAATGGAATGGAAATATATGGAATGGAATGTAATGGAAATAAATAGAATGGAATGGAATAGGATGGAAAGTAATGGAAATGAAAGGAGTGGAATGGAATGGACTCAAATGGAATGGCATGGAATGGAATGGAATGGAATGGAATGGAATGGACACCAATGGAATTGAATCAAATGGAATGGCATGGAATGGAATGGAATGGAGTGGAATGGGCCCAAATGTAATGGACAAGAATGGAATGGACTCACATAGAATGGACCAAAAAGGAATGGTATCAAGCGGAATTTATTCGAATAGAATGGAAAAGAATGGATTGAAATAGTATGTAATGGAATGCAATGGAGTAGAATCAAATTGAATGTACCAGAATGGAAAGGACAGGAATAGAATGGACTCGAATGTAATTGATTGCAAAGCAGTTTATTCGAATGGAGTGGAATCGAATGGAATGAAATGAAATGGAAAGGAATGGAATGCAGTGCAAACGTATGGAACAGAATGGAATGCAATGGAATGGAATGGAGTGGAATAGAATGGAATGGAATTGAAAGGTGTGGAATCAAATGCAATGGAATCGAATGGAATGGAATTGAATGAAATCGAAAGGAATAGAATGCAATGGATTGTAATGCAAATATATCCAATGGATTGGAATGGAATTCACTCGAATGGAATAGACTGGAATCTAATGGACTCAAACGGAACGGACTGGAGTGGAATGGATTCAAATGCAGTAGACTGGAGTGGAATGGACTCAAAAGGAATGTAAACGAATGGAATGGAACTGAATGGAATGGAATGGAATGAAACAGAATGGAAAAGAATAGAATGGAATGGAATCGTATGGAACGGAATGGAATGGAATGTTATCAAATGGAATAGAATCGAATGGAATGGCATCAAAAGGAATGAAAGGGAATGGAATGGAAACAAATGGAATAGAATCGAATGGAATGACAGAGAATGGAATGGCATGAAATAGTATGGAAAGGAATGCACTCAGAAGTAAAGGACTCAAATGGAATTCACTTAAATAGAACGGCATCAAAAGAAATGGACTCTAGTGGAATTCACGCGAATAGAATCAAATAGAATGGAGTGCAATAGTGTGGAAAGGAATCGAATGGAATGGAATCGAATGGAATGGAGCTTAATGGACTGGACTGCAGGAGAATTGACTCGAATGTAATGGATTGCAAAGAAATAGTTTGGAATAGAATGAAATCCAATGGAATGCAATCGAATGGAATGGAAAGGAATGCATTGGAATAGAATAGAATGGAATGCAATGGAATGAAAGGTAGTGGAATCGAGTGGAATGGAATCAAATGGAATGGAATCGAATGGAATGTACTGGAATGGAATCGATTCGAGTGGAATCTACTGGAACAAAATGGAATCAAATGGATTGGAATCAAGTGGAACAGAATGGAAAGGATTGGAAAGGACTTGAATGGATTGGGGTAGAAAGAAATGGAATCTAATGGGGTGGAATAGAAAAAATAGAAAGAAAAAGAATTTAATGGAGTGTGATGGAAACATATGGAATGGAATTGAAAGGAATGTAATGGACTAGAATGGAATGGACTGGAGTGGAATGGACTCGAATGGAATGGAAATGAATGGAATGGAATCAATGCAATGGAAAGGGGAAGAATAAAACGGAATCGGATGGAATGAAATGTAATGTAATAGAGTCGAATGGAATAGAATAGAATGGAATGGAATCGATTGGAATGGAATGCAGTGGAATGGAATGGAATGGAATGGAATGGAATGGAATGGAATGGAATGGAATGGAATGGACTCGAATGGATGAGAATGGAATGGAATGAAATGGAATGGAAGGGACACAAATGGACCCGAACGGAATGGGCTCTACTAGAATGGAATCGAAAGGAATGGTCTCGAATGGAATTTCTTCAAATAAAATGGAATGGAATGGAATTCAAAGTATGCAACGGAATCGAATGGAATGGAATCGAATGGAATGCACAAGAATGGAATGGAATGGAATAGAACGTACACAAATATAATGGATAGTAATCTAACTGTTTTTAATGGCATGGAATCGAATGGAATGTCGTCAAATATAATGCAATGGAATGCAATGGACTGTAATAGAATGGAATGCAAAGGAATTGACACAGTGGAATCGAGTGGAATGGAATCAAATGGAATGTAATCGATTTTAAAGGAATCGAAAGGAATGGAATCGAATGGAATGGAATTGAATGTATGCCAAAGGAATAGAATGTTATGGAGTGTAATGGAAGTATAATGAATGTAATGTAATGGAATGGAATGGAATCGAATGGAATTGACTGGATTTGAATGGACTCGAATGGAATGGAGTGGATTGGAATGAAATGGAATGGAATGGAATGGAATGCAATGGAATGGAATTGGATGGAACGGAATGGAATGGAATGTAGTCGAATGGCATAGAATTGAATTAAATGGCATCGAATGGATTGGAATTTAATGTAGTGGAAGGGATGTGAATGGAAAGGAATTGAGTGGAAAAGAATGAAATGGAATGTCATGGAATGGAATGGAATGGAACGGAATGGAATGGAATGGAATGGAATGGAATAAACCCAAATGTAATGGACTCAAATGGAACGGAATCATATAGGATGCATTAGAAAGGTATGGCCTCGAATGGAATTTATTCGAATAGAATGGAATCAAAAGTAATGCAATAGTATGGAATGCAATCGAATGGAATGCAATGAAATGGAATGGAACGGAATGGAATGGACTGGAATACAACAGACTGGAATATAATGGATTGCAATGTAATTGCTTTCAATAGAATGGAACGTAATCAAATTGAGTGGAATGGAATGCAATGAAATGGACACGAATGGAATGGACACGAATGGAATGGAATCGAATGGAATGGAATTGAATGGAATCGAAAGGAATAAAATGGAAGGGAGTGTAATGGAAATATATCAAATGGAATGGAATGGAATGGAATGGTATTGACTCGAATGGAATGGACTGGAATAAAATGGACTCGAATGACATAGAATCAAATGAAATGGCTTCGACTGGAATGGAAGGGAATGAAATGGAATGGAATGGACCCAAATATAATGGAGTAGAATGGAATGGACTCAAATTAAATTGACTCTAAAGGAATGGTATCAAATGGAATTTATTCGAATAGAATGGAATCGAATGGAATGCAAAAGAATGGAATGGCATCGAATGGAATGGAATCCAATAGAGTGGACAAGAATGGAAAGGACTGGAATAGAATGGACTCAAATGTCGAAAGTATTGGAATGAAACGTATAGGAATGGAACAGAATGGGCTCGAATGGAATGGAGTCGAATGGAATGGAATCGAAAGGAATAGAAACAAATGGAATGGAATTGAATGGAATCAAAATGAATAGAATGGAATAGAGTTTAATAAAGATATTGAATGGAATGGAATGGAATGGAAAGGACTGGAATGGAATGGACTTGAATACAATGGACTGTAGTGGAATGAGCTCGAATGGAATGCAAAAGAATTGATTGGAATGGAACGAAATGGAATGGAAAGGAATAGAATGGAATGGAATCGGAAGGAATGGATTGGAATTGAATGGATTCGAATGGAATAGAATCAATTGTAATGGCATTGAATGGAATGGAATGGAATGTACTCGAAAGGAATAGATTCGAATGGAATAGAACCCAATGGAATGGCATCGAATGGAAAGGAATGGAATGGAATGGAAGCGAATGGACCCAAATGTAATGGACCCGAATGGAATGGACTCAAATAGAATGAACTCAAAATGAATGTTCTCGAATGGATTTTGTTCGAAGAGAATGAAATAAAATGGAATGCAATAGTATGGAATGGAATCGAATGGCTTGGAATCAAAAGGAATATTTTGGATGGGAAAGGACTGGAATAGAACAGACTCAAATTTAATGGATTGCAATGTAATTGATTCTAATGGAATGGAATCAAATGGAATGTAATCAAATGGAATGGAATGGAATGAAATGGAATAGAATAGAATGGAATGTTACCAAATGGAAGGGAATGGAATGCCATGAGATTTAAAACAATGGAATATAATAGAATGGAACAGCGGGAAATCGAGTGGAATGGAATTGAATGGAATGAAATGGAATCGAGTGGCCTACAATGGAATAGAACAGAATGCAATGGAGTGTAACAAAATGGAATGGAATGGATTGGAATCAAACGGAACAGAATGGAATGGAATGGACTTGAATGGAATGGAACCGATTGGAATGGAAATGAATGCAATCGTAAGGAAGTGAATGGAATGGAGTGTAATGCAATGATATCGAATGGAATGGAATGGAACGGAATCAAATGGAATGGAATGGAATGGAATGAACTCGAATGGAATGGAATGAAATGGAATGGACTCGAGTGGAATAGTCAGGAGTTGGATGGAATCGAATGGAATGGAAACAAATAGAATGGAATGAAATGGGGTGTCCAAGAATGGAACAGATTAGCATGGAAAGGCATCGAATGGAATGGAATGGACTGGAAACGACTGGAGCGAAAATTAAGTGAATCGAATGAAACTGACTAAATTAGAGTGGACTCGAAAGGAACGGTCTCGAATGGAATTTATTCGAATAGATTGGAACCGAATGGAATGCAGTAGTATGGAATGGAATCGAATGGAAGGGAATTGAATGGAATGCACTGGAATGGAATGGACTGGAATTAAATGGACTAGATTGTAATTTATTGCAATATAATTGATACGATTTCAATGGAATCGAATGGAATGTTATCAAATGGAATAGAGTTGAATGCATTGGAATGGAATAGAAGGGAATCCATTCGAATGCAATGGAGTGGAATAGAGTAGAATGGAATCGAATGGAATGGAATCAAATGGAATGGAATGGACTCGAAAAGAATGGACAAGAAAAAATGGAATCGAACATATTGGAATTGAAGGAATGGAAAGGAATGGAATGGAATGGACTCAAATGGAGTGGAGTTGAATGGAATGGAACCGAATGGAATGGAATCGCATGGAATGGAATTGAATGGAATCAAAAAGAATAGAATGGAATGGAGTGTTATGGAAAGATACTGAATGGAATGGAATGGACTCGAATGGAATGGACAAGACAGGAATGGACTTGAATAATATGAACTGCAGTGAAATGGACTTGAATGGAATGGAAATGAATGGAATGGAATGAAAAGGAATAGAAATGCATAGAATACAATGGAATCGGATGGAATGGAAGGGAATGGAATGGAGTGGAATGGAATGGAATCAAATGGAATGTACTCGAGTGCAATAGAATGGAATGGAATGGATTTGAATGAAATGGGAATGAATGGAATGGTTTTGAATGGACCCAAATGTAACGGACTCTAATGGTATGGACTCAAATAGAATGCACTCGAAAGGAAGTGTCTCGAATGGAGTTGATTCCATTAGAATGGAATTAAATGGAATGCATTAGTATGGAATGGAATCAAATGGAATGGAATCGAATGGAGTGGAAAGGAATGGACTGGACTGGAAAAGAACGGAATAGAATGTAACGAATAGCAATGTAGTTAATTTGAAGGGAATGGAATCAAATGGAATAGAATCAAATGCAATGCAATGTAATGCAATGAATGGGATAGAATGGGTTGCAATGGAATGGAACGGAGTGCAATCGAGTGGAATGGAATGGA
The DNA here is from genome assembly GCF_000001405.40 of Homo sapiens. Taxonomy (NCBI): domain Eukaryota; kingdom Metazoa; phylum Chordata; class Mammalia; order Primates; family Hominidae; genus Homo; species Homo sapiens. The sequence continues at coordinate 11,524,927 of NC_000024.10, forward strand.
ATGGAAAGGAATGGAGTAGAAAGGATTGGACTGGAAGTAAATGGCATTAAACGAATTGTAATCGAATATTATGGAATGGAATGGAATGGAAAGGACTGAAACAAAATGGAACAGAACGGATTGGAATAGAACAGAACTGAATGGAATGGAATGGAATGGACTCGAATGGAATGGACTGGAATGGAATGGAATGGAACAAAATGGAATCAAATAGAATGGAAATGAGTGGAACGGAATGGAATGGACTCGAAAGGAATGGAGTCGAAAGGAATGGAATGGAATGGAATGTCATGGAATGGAATCGAAAGGAATAAAATGGAACAGAGTGTAGTGGAAAGATATCGAATGGAATGGAATGGAATCGAATGGAATGGACTGGAATGGAATGGATTCGAATGGAATGAAATGGAGTGGAATGGTCTCCAATGTAATGGAAATGAACGGAATGGATTGGAATGGATTCGAAAGAAATGGACTCGAATGCACTGGACTGGAATGGAATGCACTGGAACAAAATGGAATCAAATAGAATAGAAGTGAGTGGAACGGAATGGAATGGAATCGAATAGAATGGAGTCGAATGGAATGGAATGGAATGGAATGGAATGGAATCAAAAGGAATAAAATGGAACAGAGTGTAGTGGAAAGATATCGCATGGATTGGAATGGAATTGAATTGAATGGAATGGACTGGAATGAAATGGAATGAAATAGAATAGAACAAAATGAAGTGGTCTCGAATGGAATGGACTCAAATAGAATGGATTTGAAAGAAATGAATCGAATGGAATTTATTAGAATAGAATGGAAACAAGTGGAATGCAATAGTATGGAATGGAAACGAATGGAATGGAATCGAAGGTTACGGACCGGAAAGGAATGGACTGGAATAGAAAGGACACTAATATAATGGATTAAAATGTAATTGATTTGAAAGTAGTGGAATCGAATGCGATGTAATCAAATGGAATGCAATGCAATGCAATGGAATGGAACGAAGTGGAATCGAGAGAATGGAATCGTATGAAATGGAATCGAATGAAATGGACTCGAATGAAATGGACTGAAAAAGATGGAATCAAAGAGACTGGAATAAAAAGGAACGGAATTGAATGTAATGGAATGGAAAGGAATCAAAAGGAATGGAGACCAACGGAATTGAATCGAGTGGAATGGAATGGAAAGGAATAGAATGGAATTGAATCAGATGGAATGGAATGGAATGGAATACAATGGAATGGAGTCGAATGTAATGGACTGGGACAAAATGGAATAGGACGGATTGTAATCAAATGGAAAGGAATAGAATGGACTGGATAGGAATGGATTCAATTGGAATGGACTGGAATGGAATGGACTCGTATGGAAAGGACTAGAATTGAATGGAATAGAATGGAATGGAAATGAATGGAATGGTAAGGAAAGGAATGCAGTGGAATGGAATGGAATGGAATAAAAGGGAATGGGATCATATGGAAAGGAATGTAATGTAATAGCCTCTAATGGAATAGAATGGAAAGGAATAATATTGAAAGGAATGGAATAGATTGGAATGGCATGGAATGGAATGGACTCGAATGGAATGGACTCAAATGCAATAGCATCAAATGCAATGGCATTGAATGGAATGGAATGGAATGGACTCACATGGAATCGAGTCAAATTAAATAGAATCTAATTGAATGGAATTGAATGGAATCGTAAGAATCAAATGGACTGCAGTGTGATGTAAAGATACCGAATACAATGGAATGGACTCGATTGCAATTTACTGGAATGGAATGGACTAGAATGGACTGGACTGGAGTGGAATGGACTCGAATGGAATGGAAACTAATGGAATGGAATGGATCGGGATGGAATAAAATAGAATGTAATGGGATGGAGTGGAATGGAATGGAGTGGAAAGGATTCGAATGGAATAGAATAGAATGGAATGGCAATGAATCAAATGGAATGGCATGCAATGGAATGGACTGTAACGGAATGTACTCGAATTGAATAGCATTGAATGTAATGGCATCAAATAGAATGGAAAGGAATGGAATGGAATGGAATGTATTGAAATTTACTTTATTTGAATGCAGTGGAATCAAATAGAATGGACTCGAAAGAATGGACTCGGATGGGAAATATTTGAATAGAAAGGAATCAAAAGGATTGCAGTACTGTGCAATTGAATCGAATGGAATTGAATCGAATAGAATGGTCCAGAATGGAATAGATTGGAATATTTCATGAAATGCAATATAATTGATATGAATGGAATGGAATCGAATGCAATGTAATCAAACGGAATGGAGAGGAGTGCAATGGAATGGAAGAGAATGGAATGCAATGGAAGGGAATGGAGTGGAATCGAGTAGAATGGAATAGAATGGAATGGACTGGAATGGAATGGACTCGAATGTAATTGACTGGAACAAAATGCTATCAAACGGATTGGAATCAAATGGAATAGAATGGAATGGAATGGAGTAGAACGAAATGGCATCGAATGGAATGGAAACGGATGGAATGGAATTGAATGGAGTTGAAAGGATTAGAATGGAATGGAGTGAAATGGAAAGATATCGAATGGCATGGAATGCAACTAAATGGACACAAATTGAATGGAAAATAATGGAATAGACTCTAATGGAATGCACGGGAGTGGAATGGAGTCGAATGGAATGGAAAAGAATGGAATGGAATGGAATGGAATGGAATGGAATGGAATAAAATATAATTGAATGGAACACAATGGAAAGTAATAGAATGAAATGGAAGTGGATGGTATGCAATAGAACGGAGTGGAGACGAACGGAATAGAATTGAATGTAATGGCGTTGAATGGAAGAGAATGGACTCAAATGGAATGGACTTGAATGGAATAGAAAGAGATGGAATGGCATGGAATGGCATGGAATGGAATGGACACAAATGTAAAGGAATCAAACAGAATGGAGTTGAAAGGAATGGTCTCGAAAGGCAATTGTTCGTATAGAATTGAATCGACTGGAATACACTTTTATGATATGTAATAGAATAGAAAGGAATCGAATGAAATGGACAGGAACGGAATATACTGGAATAGAAAGGACTCTATTGTAATGAGCTACAAAGAAATAGATTCGAATGGAATGGAATCGAATGTAATGTACTGAAATTGAATGGAATGGAATGCAATGGAATGGAATAAAATGGAATGCAATGAAATGGAATGGATTGCAATCGAGTGGAATTGAATCGAAGGGAATGGATTTCAATGGAATGGAGTAGATTGGAATATACTGGAATGATACAGACTCGAATGGAATGGAATGGAAAAATGGAATCGAACGAGTAGGAATCAAACGGAATGGAAAGGAATGCAACGGAATGGAATGGCTTCAAAAGGAATTGAGTCGAATGGAATGGAATCAAAGTGAAAGGAATCGAAAGGAATGCAAGGGAATAGCATAAAAGGAATTTAATGGAAAGATATTGAATGGAACAGAATGGAATGGAATCGAATGGAATGGACTTCAATGAAATGGTCTTGAATGGAAAGGAGTGAACTGGAATGGACTCGAAAGAAATGGAAACGGATGGAATGGAATGGAAGGGAAAGGAATAGAATGGAATAGAAACGGCTGGAACAGAATGAAATGGAATGGAGTCGAATGGATTATAATCAAATGGAATGGCATCGAATGAAATAGAAAGGAAAGACTCGAATGGAATGGAAACGAATGGAATGGAATAGAATGGAATGGAACCAGATGGAACAGAATGGAATGGAATGGACTCGAATGCAATAGAATCAAATGGAATGGCATTGAATGGAAGGGAATGGAATGGACTCGAATGGAATGGACTCAAATGGAATAGAATAGAATTTAATGGAATAGAATGGATTGGAAGGAATGGAATGTACTCGAATGGAATGGAGACGAATGGAATATAATCGAATGGAATGGACTGGAGTTGAAAGGACACGAATGGAATGGAAATTAAAGGAAAGGAATGGAATGGAAAGGAATGGAAAGGAAAGGAATAGAATGCATGTAATTGGATGTAACGGAAATGAATAGAAAGGAGTGAAATGGAATAGAATAAAATGGAATGGCACCGAAGAGAAGGGTATCGAATATAATGGAATGTAATTTAATGGAATGCACCCGAATATAATCGACTCCAATGGAATAGAATAGAATGGAATATCATGGAATGAAATGGAATGGAATGGAATGGAATGGAATGGAATGGAATGGAATGGAATACAATGGAATGGAGTGGAATGGAATGGAATGGAGTGTAATGGAATGGAATGGAATAGACTCAAATGTAATGGACTCGAATCCAAGGCAGTCAAATAGAACGGACTCCAAAGGAATGGCCTCGAATGGAGTTAATTTGAATAGAGAGGAATGGAATGGAATACGATAGTATGGAAAATAATCGAATGTAAAGGTATCAAATGGAAAGGAAGGCAATGGAATGGAATGGTCTGAAATAGAATGGACTTGAATGTACTTGATAGCGGTGTAGTTGAAACGAATGGAATGGATCGAAAAAATATAATCAAATGGAATGGAATAGAGTGCAATAGAATGGAATAGAAAGGAGTGCAATTGAATAGAATGGAGTGGAATGGAGTGAAAAGGAATCAAATGGAATGGAATCGAATGGTAGGGTCTGGAAAGCAATGTATCCAAATGGAATGGAAGGGAAAAAAATGCAATTGAACGGCTTAGAATCGATCAGAATGGAATGGATTGGAATGGAGTCGAATGGAATGGAGTCGAATAGAATGGAATGGCATGGAACGGTATAGAATGGAATGGAATGGAATGGAATGGAATAGACCCAAATGTAATGGACTCGAATCAAAGGGACTCAAATAGAATGGACTCGAAAGGAATGGCCTCGAATGGAGTTGATTTGATTAGAATTGAAAGGAATGGAATACAATAGTATGGAAAGGAATCGAATGGACCGGCATCAAATGGAAAGGAAGGCAATGGAATGGACTGGAATAGAACGGACTCGAATGTACTGGATAGCGGTGTATTTGAAACGAATGGAATGGAATCGAAACAATGTAATCAAAGGGAATGGAATGGACTGCAATGGAATGGAACAGAAAGGAATGCAATGGAATGGAATGGAGTGGAATTGAGTGAAAGGGAATCGAATGGAATGGAATCGAATGGGATGATCTGGAATGGAATGTATCTGAATGGAATGGAAGGGAAAAAAATGCAATCGAACGGCTTAGAACCGTACAGAATGGAATCGATTGGAATGGAGTCGAATGGAACGGAATCCAAAGGAATGCACTCTAATGGAATGAGAATGAATGGAGTCAAAAGGAATAGAATGGAATCGAGTGTATTGGAAAGATATCGAATGGATTGGAAAGGAATTGATTCGAATGGAATGCACTCGAATGCAATCCAGTGGAGTGGAATGGACGAGAATGGAAAGGAAATAAACGGAATAGGAAGGAAAGGAATGGAATGGAATGGAACTCTATGGAAACGAATAGAATTAAATGGAATCGGTTGGAATGGAATGGAAGGGAATGGAGTCTAATAGAATAGAATCGAATGGAATGGCATTGAATCGAATGGAATTGAAGGGAGTTGACTCGAATGGGAAGGACCCCAATGGAATTGAATTGAATGGAAAGGCATCGAATTAAATCGAAAAGAATGGAATGGAGTGAACTGAAATGGAATGGATTCGAATGGAATAGACTAGAATGGTATGGCATCGAAGGGAAAGGAATGGAATGGAATGGAATGGTATGGACCGAAATGTAATGGACTGTACTCAAATATAATGGATTTGAAAGGAATGGTCTCAAAACAATTCATTCGATTAGAATGGAATCGAATTTAATGAAATAGTATTTAATAGATTCTAAGGGAATAGATTCCAATGGAAGGCACCAGAATGGAATGGAAATTAATAGAACAGACAGAAATGTAATGGATTTCAATGTAATTACTATGAATGGAATGGAATCGGTTTTAATGCAATCAAATGGAATGGAAACTTATGCAATGGAATGGAATAGAATGTAATGCAATGAAATGGAACGGAGTGGAATCGAGTGTAATGGATTCCAATGAAATGGCAACCAATGGAATCGAATCGAATGTAATGGACACGAATTGAATGGAATGGAAAAATATGCAATCGAACGAATTGGAATCGAACGAAATGGAACGGAATGGAACGGAAGGTACTCGAATGGAATGGAATCTAGTTTAATAGAATCGAATGGAATGGCATCGATTGGAAAGGAATGGAATGGAATGGACTCGAATGTAATGGACACGAATGGAATGGAATGGAATGGAATGGAATGGAATGGAATGGAATGGAATGCACCCAAATGTAATGAACTCTAATGAAATGGACTTTAATAGAATGGATTAGAAAACAATGGGCTCGAATGGAATTTAATCAAGTTGAATGGAATGGAATGGAATGGAATGCAAAACTATGGAATAGCATCAAATGGAATGGAATAGAATGGAGTGGAATGGAATGAAATACACAGGTATAGAACAGACTCGAATATAATGGATTGCAATGTAAGTGATTCAAATGGAATGGAATAAAATGGAATATAATCAAATGGAATGGAATGGAGTGCATTGGAATGGAATAAAATGGAATGCAAACAATGGAAGAGAACTCAGTTGAATCTAGAGGAATGGAATCGAATGCAATGGAAAAGAATGGAATGGACACGAATGGAATGGATTGGAAACAAATGGAATGGAAAGGATTTTAATCAAACAGAACAAAATAGAATGCAATGGACTCGAATGAAACGGAGTCGAAGAGAATAGAATCAAATGGAAAGGAATCGAATGCAATCGAACCGAATGGAATGTGAATGAAGTTAATTGAAAGAAATAGAATGGAATGAAGTGTAATGGAAAGATATCGAATTGAATGGAATTGAATGGAATGGACACAAACGGAAAGGACTGGAATGGAATGAACTTGAAAGGAATAGAATGGAGCGGAATGGACTCGAGTGAATTGGAATCGAATGGTATAGAATAGAATGGAATGCAAAGAAAAGGAATAGAAGGGAATGGAATCGGATATAACGGGACAGATTGGAATGGGGTAGAATTGAATAGAATCGAAAGGAATGCCATCGAATGTAATGGAATGGAATGGACTCGAATGGAATGGAGTGACATGTAATGGAATCTAAAGGAATGGAATCGAATAAAATGGAATTGAATGGAATAGAAAGGAATAGAATGGAATGGAGTTTAATGGAAAGATATTAAAAGTAATGGAATGGAATTGAGTGGACACGAATGGAATGGACTGGAATGGAAAGGACTCGAATGAAATGGAGCGCATTAGAATGGACTCTAATGGAATGGATTGGAGTTGAATGGTCTCGAATGGATTGGAAACGAATGGAAAGGAAAGGAATAGAATGGAATGTAATCAAATGGAACGAAAAGGAATGGAATGGATTAGACTGGAACAGAATTGAATGGAGTGGAATTGAATGGAATGGAATGCAATCGAACGGAATGGACACGAATGGAATAGAATGAAATGAAATGGCATAGAATGGAATGGAATGGAATGGAATGGAATGGAATGGAATGGCATGGAATGGAATGCAATGGAATGAAATGGATTGGAATGGGACGGACCCAAAAGTAATGGACTCAAATAAAAGGGACTCAAATAGAATGAATTGGAAAGAAAAGGTCTCGAATGTAATTTATTCGAATAGAAAGATATTGAATGGAATGCAAAAGTATGCAATGGTATCGAATAGAATGGAATAGAATGGAATGGAATGGAACGGAATGCAGTGCATTTGAACAGACACAAATGCAATAAATTGCAATATAATTGATTCAAATGGAATGGAATCAAATAGAATGCAAACAAATGGAATGGAAGGCAATGCAATGGAAAGGAATAGAATGAAATGGAATAAATAGAATGGAATCGAATGGAAAGGACGCGAATATAATGGACTGTTAAGGAAAGGTCTCGAATTGAATTTATTCCAATCGAATGGAATGCAATGCTATTTAATCGAATCGAACGGAATGGAATAGAATGGAATGGACAGGAATGTAATGAACTGGAAGTGAATGGACAAGAACGTAATATATTGCAGTGTAATTTATTCAAATGGAATGGAATGCAATCGAATGGAATGGACTCGATTGGAATGGACTGGAGTGGAATGGACTCAAATGGAATGGAAACGAATGTAATGGAATGGAACGGAAAGCAAAGGAATCTACTGGAATAGAATCGAACGGAACAGAAAGGAATGGAATGGAATGGAGCGGAATGGACTCGAATGGAATGTATTCGAATGTAATGGACCTGAAGGGAATGGAATCCAATGGAATGGAATTGAATGGAATCAAAAGGAATAGAAACGAATAGAGTGTAATTGAATGATATCGAAAGGAAGAGAATGGAATGAACTCGAATGGAATGCACTGGAATGGAATGGACTTGATCAGAACGGACTGGAGAGGAATGTACACAAATGGAATAGAAACGAGTGGAATGGAATGAAATGGAATAGAATGAAATGGAATTGAAAGGAACTGAATCAAATGGAATCAAAAGGAATGGAATGGATTGGAATAGAATGGATTCAAATAAAATAGAATCGATTGGAATGGTATTCAATGGAAGGGACTTGAATGGAATGGAAAGCAATGGAAGATATTGGAATCGAATGGCATCGAATGAAATGGAATGGAACGGAATGGAACGGAACCGAATGGAATGGAATGGACTCAAATGTAATGGACTCGTATGTAATCGAATGAAATATAATAGACTCGAAAGGAATGGACTCGAGCGGAATTTATTTGAATAGAATGGAATCAATTGGAATACAATAGTATTGAAAGGAATAGAATCGAATGGAATCGAATGGAATGTAATAAAATGGAATGGCAAGGAATTCAATATAATGGAATAGACTGGAATGCACTGGAAAGGAGCAGGGTGGAATCGAGTGTAATGGAATCAAAGGGAATGAAATCGAATTGAATGGACTTGAATGGAATTGACTCGAAAGGAATTGACTCGAAAGGAATGGACTGGAACAAAAAGGAATCAAATGGACAGGAATGGAATGGACTCGAATGGAATGGAGTGAAATGCAAACGCATCGAATGGAATGGATTCAAATGGAATGCAATTGAATGGAATAGAAAGGAAGAGAATGGAATTGAGAGTAATGGAAAGATATCGATTGGAATGAAATGGAATGGAAAGGAATTGAATGGAAAGGAATGGACTCGAAAGAAATGGATTGCAATGGAATGGTCTCCAACGGAGTGGACTGGAGGGGAATGGAATCGAATGGAATGAAAAGAATGGAACGGAATGGAACGGAAAGGAATAGAATGTTATGGAATCCGATTGGACAGAATGGAATGGAATGGAGTTTCATGAAATGGAGTCGAATAGAGTGGCATCAAAAGGAATGGAATGGAATGGAGTGGACTCAAAAGGAATGGACTCGAAAGGAATGGAGTCGAACCAAATTGAATGAAATGGATTGGAGTCGAACAGAATGGAATGGAATGGAATGAACTCGACTGGAGTAGAGAGGAATGTAAAGGAATAGAATGGAATGTAATCAAATGGATTGCAAGTGAATGGAATCAAAAATAATAGAAAGGAATGGAGTGTAAAGGGATGATATTGAATATAATGGAATAGAATGGAATTTAATGGAATGGAGACGAAGGAATGGACAGGAATGTAATGGACGCCAATGGAATGGAATGGATCAAAATGGATTTGAACAGATTGGAATCGAACGGAATGGAATGTAATGGAATGGAATGGACTCGAATGGAGAAGAGACAAATGGAATGGAAACGAATTCAATGGAATTGAAAAGAATAGGATGGAATGGCGTGTAATGGTAAGATACTAAATGGAATGGAATTGAACGGAATGTAATGGAATGGAACCAAATGTAATGCACTCGAATGGAATATACTGAAATAGAATGGAATCGAAAGGAAAGGTCTCAAATGGAATTTATTCAATACAATGGATTCGAATGGAAAGCTATAGAATTGAATGGAATCGAATGTAATGGAATCAAATAGAATGAACCAGAATGGAATGGACTGCCATAGAACGGACTGCAGTGTAATGGATTGAATTCTAATTCATTCAAATGGAATGGAATTGAATGGAATGGAATCCAATGGAATGGATAGGATTGTACTGCAATGGAATAGAATGGAATGCAACGGAGTGGAATGGAGTTGAATGAAGTGGAATGGAATCGATTGGAATGGAATCAAATGGAATGGACGGGAATGGAATGGACTGGAAGAGAACAGACTCGAATATAATGGATTGCAAAGTAATTGATTCAAACGGAATGGAATCGAATGGAATGTAATAAAATTGAAGGGAATTGAGTTCAATGCAATGGAATAGAATGGAATGCAAAGGAAAGGAAAGGTACGGAGTGAAACCGAGTGTAATGGAATCGAAGGGAATGACATCGAATGGAATGGACTCAAAAGAAATGGACGAGGGACAAAACGGAATCGAAATGATTGGAATCGAACGGAACGGAATGGAATGGAATGGTCTCCATTGGATCGCAGTAGAACGGATTGGAATGGAATGGAATGAAATGGAATGGAAAGGAATAGAATGGAATGGAATGGAATGGAAGGAAATGGAAAGATATCGAACGGATTGGAAAGGAATGGAATGGACCCTAATGGAATGGAATGGAATTCAACAGAAACGAATGGAATGGACTGGAGTGAAATGGAGTCGAATGTAATTGACTGGAGTGGAATGGACTCGAATAGAATGGACTGGAATGGATTGAACTCGAATGGAGTGGAAAGGAATAAAATGGATTCCACCAGATTGGAATGGAACAGAATGTAATGTAATGGAATGGAATACAATGGAATAGCACGAATGGAATGGAGTCGAACGCAATGGAACAGAAAGGAAAGGAATTGAATGGAATTGAAAGTAACAAAATAAAATGGAGTGCAAAGGAAAGATATCGAACGGAATAGATCGAAAAGAAATAGAATGGAATGGACAGGAATGGAATGGAATAGAATGGAATAGACTGGCCTGCAATGAAAACGAATGGAATGGAAACGAATGGAATGGAATGGAAAGGAATGGAGTAGAATAAATACTATGGAATGGAATGGAGGCGAAAGGAAAAGAATGGATTGGAATGTCACCGAATGGAAAGATACGGAATGGAAAGGAATGGATACGAATGGAATGGAATAGAAAGGAACGGAAAGGTAAAGAATGGAATGGAATCGGATAGAATGGAATGCAATGTAATGGAGTCGAAGGGAAAGTAAACGAGTAGAATGATATCGAATGGAATGGAATTTAATGGAATGGAATGGAATGGAATGGACTCGAATGGAATGTACTCAAATGGATTAGAATAGAATGGAATGGAACTAAACGTAATGAACTCGAATGGAATGGACACAAATAGAATGGAAGAGAAAGGAATGGTATTGAATGGAATTTATTCGAATAGAGTGGAATTCAATGGAATGCAAGAGTGTGGCATGGAATCAAATGGAATGGAATCGAATGGAATGGACCTGAGTGGAATGGACTCACATAGAACAGCCTCGAATGTAATGGATTACAATATATTAGATTCGAAAGGACTGAAATCGAATGGAATGTAATCAAGTAGAACGGAATTGAATGCATGGAATGGCATAGAAAGTAATGCAATGGAATGGAATAGACTGGAATCGAATGGAATCGGATGGAATGTAATGAAATATAATGGAAGGAATGCCATGGAATGGAATGGAATGGAATGCAATGGGACGGTGTATAATGGAGTGCAATGGATTTCAGTGGAATGTAGTCAAAAGGAAAGAAATAGAATGGAATTCAATATAATGGAATGGCATCCAAAGGCAAGGAATGGAGCGGACTCCAATGGAAACGACATGAAAGGAATATAATATAACGGAATGGCATTGAAGGAAATGGAATGCAATGGAGTTAAAAGGTAAAATATCGAAAGGAAAAGAATTGAATGGACTCGAATGGAATATAATGGAATGGAATGGACTCGAATGGAATGTACTAGAGTTGAATGGAATCGCATGGAATGGAAAACAATGGAAAGGAAAGGAAAGGAATTGAAAGGAAAGGAATAGAATGGAATGGAATCGGATGGAACGGAATTGAATGGAATGGAAACTAAAGGAATAGAATAGAAAGGAATGGCATTGAATGGAATGGAATGGAATGGAATCAGATGGAATAGAAAGTAAAGGAATAGAATCGAATGGAATGGCATCGAAAGGATTGGAATGGAATGTAATGGAATGGAATAGAAAGGAATGGAATGGACTCGAATGGAATGTAGTCAAATAGAATACAATAGAATGGAATAGAAGTAAATATAATGGACTCGAATGGAATGCATTGGAATAAATTGGAATTGAGTGTATTGGATTCGAATGGAAAGGAATGGAATGGAATAGAATGGAATGGATACGAATGGAATGGAATCGAATGGAATGGAACGAATTGGAATGTAATTGAATGGAGTCAAAAACAGTAGAAAGAAATGAAGTTTAATCGAATGATATCGAATGGAATTGAGTGGAATGTACGCGAATGGAATGGACTCGAATGGAATGCAGTGAAATGTAACGGAATCGAAAGGAATGGAATCCAATGAAATGGAATTGAATGGAATAGAAAGGAATACAATGGAATGGAGTTTAATGGAAAGATATTAAAATAATGGAATGGAATTGAGTGGACACGAAAGGAATGCACTGGAATGGAAAGGACTCGAATGAAATGGAGCGCATTAGAATGGACTCGAATGGAATGGATTGGAGTGGAATGGTCTCGAATGGATTGGAAACGAATGGAATGGAAAGGTATAGAATGGAATGTAATCAAATGGAACGAAATGGAATGGAATGGATTCGACTGGAACAGAATTGAATGTAGTGGAATTGAATGGAATGGAATGCAATCAAATGGAATGGACACGAATCGAATAGAATGAAATGAAATAGCCTAGAATGGAATGAAATGGAATGGAATGGAATGGAACGGAATGGAATGGAATGGAATGGCATAGAATGGAATGGCATGGCATGTAATGGAATGGAATGGAATGAAATGGATTGGAAGGGGATGGGCTCAAAGAAATAGACTCAAATAAAAGGGACTCAAATAGAATGAAGTGGAAAGAAACGGTCTCCAATGTAATTTATTCGAATAGAATGATATTGAATGGAATGCAATAGTATGGAATGCTATCGAATAGTATGGAATAGAATGGAATGGAATGGAACGGAATGTAGTGCAATTGAACAGACTCAAATGCAATAAATTGCAATATAATTGATTCAAATGGAATGGAATCGAATAGAATGTAAACAAATGGAATGGAAGGCAATGCAATGGAAAGGAATCGAATGAAATGGAATAAATGGAATGGAATGGAATGGAAAGGACGCGAATATATTGGACTGTTAAGGAAAGGTGTCGAATCGAATTTATTCCAATAGAATGGAATCGAATGGATTGCAATACTATTGAATCGAATCGAATGGAATGGAATTGAATGGAATGGACAGGAATGGAATGAACTGGAAATGACTGGACAAGAACGTAATATATTGCAATGTAATTTATTCAAATGGAATGGAATGCAATCGAATGGAATTGACTCGATTGGAATGGACTGGAGTGGAATGGATTTAAATGGAATGGAAAGGAATGTAATGTAAAGGAAGTGAAAGCAAAGGAATCTACTGGAATAGAATCGAACGGAACAGAAAGGAATGGAAAGGAATGGAGTGGAATGGACTCGAATGGAATGTATTCGAATGTAATGGACCTGAAAGGAATGGAATCCAATGGAATGGAATTGAATGGAATCAAAAGGAATAGAAAGGAATAGAGTGTAATTGAACGATATCGAATGGAAGGGAATGGAATGAACTCGAATGGAATGCACTGGAATGGAATGGACTCGATCAGAACGGACTGTAGAGGAATGTACACAAATGGAATGGAAACGAATGGAATGCAATGAAATGGAATGGAATGAAATGGAATTGAAAGGAACGGAACCAAATGGAATGGAATGGAATGGAATGGATTGGAATAGAATGGATTCAAATAAAATAGAATCAATGGGAATGGTATTGAATGGAAGGGACTTGAATGGAATGGAAAGCAATGGAAGATATTGGAATCGAATGGCATCGAATGAAATGGAGTGGAACGGAATGGAACGGAACCGAATGGAGTGGAATGGACTCAAATGTAATGGACTCGAATGGAATCGACTGAAATATAATAGTCTCGAAAGGAATGGCCTCGAGCGGAATTTATTTGAATAGAATGGAATCAAATGGAATACAATAGTATTGAATGGAATCGAATGGAATGGAATCGAATGGAATGTAATCAAATGGAATGGAACGGAATTCAATATAATGGAGTAGAATGGAATGCATTGGAAAGGAGCAGAGTGGAATCGAGTGGAATGGAATCAAAGGGAACGAAATCGAATTGAATGGAGTTGTATGGAATTGACTCGAAAGGAATTGACGCGAAAGGAATTGAATCGAAAGGAATGGATTGGAACAAAAAGGAATCAAATGGACAGGAATGGGATGGAATGGACACGAATGGAATGGAGTCAAATGCAAACGTATCAAATGGAAAGGATTCAAATGGAATGCAATTGAATGGAATAGAAAGGAAGAGAATGGAATTGAGAGTAATGGAAAGATATCGATTGGAATGAAATGGAATGGAAAGGAATTGAATGGAAAGGAATGGAGTGGAAAGAAATGGATTGGAATGGAATGGTCTCCAATGGAATGGACTGGAGTGGAATGGAATCGAATGGAATGAAAAGAATGGACCGGAATGGTACGGAAAGGAATAGAATGTTATGGAATCCGATTGGACAGAATGGAATGGAATGGAGTTTCATGAAATGGAGTCGAATAGAGTGGCATTAAAAGGAATGGAATGGAATGGAGAGGACTCAAAAGGAATGGACTCGAAAGGAATGGAGTCGAACTAAATTGAATCAAATGGATTGGAGTCGAACAGAATGGAATGGAATGGAATGAACTCGACTGGAGTAGAGAGGAATGTAAAGGAATAGAATGGAATGTAATCAAATGGATTGCAAGTGAATGGAATCAAAAATAATAGAAAGGAATGAAGTGTAACGGGATGATATTGACTGTAATGGAATGGAATGGAATTTAATGGAATGGAGACGAAGGAATGGACAGGAATGTAATGGACTCCAATGGAATGGAATGGATCAAAGTGGATTTGAACAGATTGGAATCGAACGGAATGGAATGCAATGGAATGGAATGGACTCGAATGGAGAAGAGAGAAAAGGAATGGAAACGAATTCAATGGAATTGAAAAGAATAGGATGGAATGGCGTGTAATGGTAAGATACTAAATGGAATGGAATTGAATGGAATGGAATGGACCCAAATGTAATGCACTCGAAAGGAATATACTCAAATAGAATGGAATCGAAAGGAAAGGTCTCAAATGGAATTTATTCAATACAATGGAATCGAATGGAATGCAATAGAATGGAATGGAATCGAATGTAATGGAATGAAATAGAATGGACCAGAATGGAATGGACTGCCATAGAACGGACTGCAGTGTAATGGATTGAATTCTAATTCATTCAAATGGAATGGAATTGAATGGAATGGAATCCATTGGAATGGATAGGATTGTACTGGAATGGAATAGCATGGAATGCAACGGAGTGGAATGGAGTTGAATGAAGTGGAATGGAATCGATTGGAATGGAATCAAATGGAATGGACGGGAATGGAATGGACTGGAAGAGAACAGACTCAAATATAATGGATTGCAAAGTAATTGATTCAAATGGAATGGAATCGAATGGAATGTAATAAAATTGAAGGGATTTGAGTTCAATACAATGGAATAAAATGGAATGCAAAGGAAAGGAAAGGTACGGAGTGAAATCGAGTGTAATGGAATCGAATGGAATGAAATCGAATGGAATGGACTCAAAAGAAATGGACGAGGGACAAAACGGAATCGAACTGATTGGAATCGAACGGAACGGAATGGAATGGAATGGTCTCCATTGGATCTGAGTAGAACGGACTGGAATGGAATGGAATGAAATGGAATGGAAAGGAATAGAATGGAATGGAATGGAATGGAATGGAATGGAAGGTAATGGAAAGATATCGAACGGATTGGAAAGGAATGGAATGGACCCTAATGGAATGGAATGGAATTCAACAGAAACGAATGGAATGGACTGGAGTGAAATGGAGTCGAATGTAATTGACTGGAGTGGAATGGACTCGAAAGGAATGGACTCGAATAGAATGGACTGGAATGGATTGTACTCGAATGGAGTTGAAAGGAATAAAATGGATTCCACCAGATTGGAATGGAACAGAATGTAATGGAATGGAATGGAATGCAATGGAATAGCTCCAATGGAATGGAGTCGAATGCAATGGAACAGAAAGGAAAGGAATTGAATGGAATTGAAAGTAATAGAACAAAATGGAGTGCAAAGGAAAGATATTGAATGGAATGGATCGAAAAGAAATCGAATGGAATGGTCAGGAATGGAATGGAATAGAATGGAATAGACTGGCGTGCAATGAAAACGAATGGAATGGAAACGAATGGAATGCAATGGAAAGGAATGGAGTAGAATAAATACTATGGAATGGAATGGAGGCGAAAGGAAAAGAATGGATTGGAATGTCACCGAATGGAAAGATATGCAATGGAAAGGAATGGATACGAATGTAATGGAATAGAAAGGAATGGAAAGGTAAAGAATGGAATGGAATCGGATAGAATGGAATGCAATGTAATGGAGTCGAATGGAAAATAATCGTGTAGAATGATATCGAATGGAATGGAATTGAATGGAATGGAATGGAATGGAATGAACTGGAAGTGAATGGACAAGAACGTATTATATTTCAATGTAATTTATTCAAATGGAATGGAATGCAATCGAATGGAATGGACTCTATTGGAATGGACTGGAGTGGAATGGACTCAAATGGAATGGAATGGAATGGAATGGAATGGAATGGAAAGCAAAGGAATCTACTGGAATAGAATCGAACGGAACAGAAAGGAATGGAATGGAATGGAGTGGAATGGACTCAAATGGAATGTATTCGAATGTAGTGGACCTGAAAGGAATGGAATCCAATGGAATGGAATTGAATGGAATCAAAAGGAATAGAAAGGAATAGAGTGTAATTGAATGATATCGAATGGAAGGGAATAGAATGAACTCGAATGGAATGCACTGGAATGGAATGGACTCGATCAGAACGGACTGGAGAGGAATGTACACAAATGGAATGGAAATGAATGGAATGGAATGAAATGGAATTCAATGAAATGGAATTGAAAGGAACGAAATCAAATGGAATGGAATGGAATGGAATGGATTGCAATAGAATGGATTCAAATAAAATAGAATCGATGGGAATGGTATTGAATGAAAGGGATTTGAATGGAATGGAAAGCAATGGAAGATATTGGAATCGAATGGCATCGAATGAAATGGAACGGAACGGAATGGAACGGAACCGAATGGAATGGAATGGACTCAAATGTAATGGACTCCAATGGAATCGACTGAAATATAATAGTGTCGAAAGGAATGGCCTCGAGCGGAATTTATTTGAATAGAATGGAATCAAATGCAACACAATACCATTGAATTGAATCGTATGGAATGGAATCGAATGGAATGTAATCAAATGGAATGGAACGGAATTCAATATAATGGAGTAGAATGGAATGCATTGGAAAGGAGCAGAGTGGAATCGAGTGGAATGGAATCGAGTGGAATGGAATCAATGGGAACAAAATCGAAATGAATGGACTTGAATGGAATTGACTCAAAAGGAATTGACTCGAAAGGAATGGACTAGAACAAAAAGGAATCAAATGGACAGGAATGGGATGGAATGGACACGAATGGAATGGAGTCAAATGCAAACGCATCGAATAGAATGTATTCAAATGGAATGCAATTGAATGGAATAGAAAGGAAGAGAATGGAATTGAGAGTAATGGAAAGATATCGAATGGAATGAAATGGAATGGAAAGGAATTGAATGGAAAGGAATGGAGTGGAAAGAAATGGATTGGAATGGAATGGTCTCCAATGGAATGGACTGGAGTGGAATGGAATCGAATGGAATGAAAAGAATGGACCGGAATGGTACGGAAAGGAATAGAATGTTATGGAATCCGATTGGACAGAATGGAATGGAATGGAGTTTCATGAAATGGAGTCGAATAGAGTGGCATCAAAAGGAATGGAATGGAATGGAGTGGACTCAAAAGGAATGGACTCGAAAGGAATGGAGTCGAACTAAATTGAATCAAATGGATTGGAGTCGAACAGAATGGAATGGAATGGAATGAACTCGACTGGAGTAGAGAGGAATGTAAAGGAATAGAATGGAATGTAATCAAATGGATTGCAAGTGAATGGAATCAAAAATAATCGAAAGGAATGGAGTGTAACGGGATGATGTTGACTATAATGGAATGGAATGGAATTTAATGGAATGGAGTCGAAGGAATGGACAGGAATGTAATGGACTCCAATGGAATGGAATGGATCAAAATGGATTTGAACAGATTGGAATCGAACGGAATGGAATGCAATGGAATGGAATGGACTCGAATGGAGAAGAGATAAATGGAATGGAAACGAATTCAATGGAATTGTAAAGAATAGGATGGAATGGCGTGTAATGGTAAGATACTAAATGGAATGGAATTGAATGGAATGGAATGGACCCAAATGAAATGCACTCGAAAGGAATATACTCAAGTAGAATGGAATCGAAAGGAAAGGTCTCAAATGGAATTTATTCAATACAATGGAATCGAATGGAATGCAATAGAATGGAATGGAATCGAATGTAATGGAATCAAATAGAATGGACCAGAATGGAATGGACTGCCATAGAACGGACTGCAGTGTAATGGATTGAATTCTAATTCATTCAAATGGAATGGAATTGAATGGAATGGAATCCAATGGAATGGATAGGATTGTACTGGAATGGAATAGCATGGAATGCAACGGAGTGGAATGGAGTTGAATGAAGTGGAATGGAATCGATCGGAATGGAATCAAATGGAATGGACGGGAATGGAATGGACTGGAAGAGAACAGACTTGAATTTAATGGATTGTAATGTAATTGATTCAAATGGAATGGAATCGAATGGAATGTAATAAAATTGAAGGGATTTGAGTTCAATACAATGGAATAAAATGGAATGCAAAGGAAAGGAAAGGTACGGAGTGAAATCGAGTGTAATGGAATCGAATGGAAAGAATTCGAATGGAATGGAATCAAAAGAAATGGACGAGGGACAAAACGGAATCGAACTGATTGGAATCGAATGGAACGGAAGGGAATGGAATGGTCTCCATTGGATCGGAGTAGAACGGCCTGGAATGGAATGGAATGAAATGGAATGGAAAGGAATAGAATGGAATGGAATGGAATGGAATGGAATGGAATGGAAAGATATCGAACGGATTGGAAAGGAATGGAATGGACCCTAATGGAATGGAATGGAATTCAACAGAAACGAATGGAATGGACTGGAGTGAAATGGAGTCGAATGTAATTGACTGGAGTGGAATGGACTCGAAAGGAATGGACTCGAATAGAATGGACTGGAATGGATTGTACTCGAATGGAGTTGAAAGGAATAAAATGGATTCCACCAGATTGGAATGGAACAGAATGTAATGGAATGGAATGGAATGGAATGCAATGGAATAGCTCCAATGGAATGGAGTCGAATGCAATGGAACAGAAAGGAAAGGAATTGAATGGAATTGAAAGTAATAGAACAAAATGGAGTGCAAAGGAAAGATATTGAATGGAATGGATCGAAAAGAAATCGAATGGAATGGACAGGAATGGAATGGAATAGAATGGAATAGACTGGCGTGCAATGAAAACGAATGGAATGGAAACGAATGGAATGCAATGGAAAGGAATGGAGTAGAATAAATACTATGGAATGGAATGGAGGCGAAAGGAAAAGAATGGATTGGAATGTCACCGAATGGAAAGACATGCAATGGAAAGGAATGGATACGAATGTAATGGAATAGAAAGGAATGGAAAGGTAAAGAATGGAATGGAATCGGATAGAATGGAATGCAATGTAATGGAGTCGAATGGAAAATAATCGTGTAGAATGATATCGAATGGAATGGAATTGAATGGAATGGAATGGAATGGAATGAACTGGAAGTGAATGGACAAGAACGTATTATATTTCAATGTAATTTATTCAAATGGAATGGAATGCAATCGAATGGAATGGACTCTATTGGAATGGACTGGAGTGGAATGGACTCAAATGGAATGGAATGGAATGGAATGGAATGGAATGGAAAGCAAAGGAATCTACTGGAATAGAATCGAACGGAACAGAAAGGAATGGAATGGAATGGAGTGGAATGGACTCAAATGGAATGTATTCGAATGTAGTGGACCTGAAAGGAATGGAATCCAATGGAATGGAATTGAATGGAATCAAAAGGAATAGAAAGGAATAGAGTGTAATTGAATGATATCGAATGGAAGGGAATAGAATGAACTCGAATGGAATGCACTGGAATGGAATGGACTCGATCAGAACGGACTGGAGAGGAATGTACACAAATGGAATGGAAACGAATGGAATGGAATGAAATGGAATTCAATGAAATGGAATTGAAAGGAACGAAATCAAATGGAATGGAATGGAATGGAATGGATTGCAATAGAATGGATTCAAATAAAATAGAATCGATGGGAATGGTATTGAATGAAAGGGATTTGAATGGAATGGAAAGCAATGGAAGATATTGGAATCGAATGGCATCGAATGAAATGGAATGGAACGGAATGGAACGGAACCGAATGGAATGGAATGGACTCAAATGTAATGGACTCCAATGGAATCGACTGAAATATAATAGTGTCGAAAGGAATGGCCTCGAGCGGAATTTATTTGAATAGAATGGAATCAAATGCAACACAATACCATTGAATTGAATCGTATGGAATGGAATCGAATGGAATGTAATCAAATGGAATGGAACGGAATTCAATATAATGGAGTAGAATGGAATGCATTGGAAAGGAGCAGAGTGGAATCGAGTGGAATGGAATCGAGTGGAATGGAATCAATGGGAACAAAATCGAAATGAATGGACTTGAATGGAATTGACTCAAAAGGAATTGACTCGAAAGGAATGGACTAGAACAAAAAGGAATCAAATGGACAGGAATGGGATGGAATGGACACGAATGGAATGGAGTCAAATGCAAACGCATCGAATAGAATGTATTCAAATGGAATGCAATTGAATGGAATAGAAAGGAAGAGAATGGAATTGAGAGTAATGGAAAGATATCGAATGGAATGAAATGGAATGGAAAGGAATTGAATGGAAAGGAATGGAGTGGAAAGAAATGGATTGGAATGGAATGGTCTCCAATGGAATGGACTGGAGTGGAATGGAATCGAATGGAATGAAAAGAATGGACCGGAATGGTACGGAAAGGAATAGAATGTTATGGAATCCGATTGGACAGAATGGAATGGAATGGAGTTTCATGAAATGGAGTCGAATAGAGTGGCATCAAAAGGAATGGAATGGAATGGAGTGGACTCAAAAGGAATGGACTCGAAAGGAATGGAGTCCAACCAAATTGAATCAAATGGATTGGAGTCGAACAGAATGGAATGGAATGGAATGAACTCGACTGGAGTAGAGAGGAATGTAAAGGAATAGAATGGAATGTAATCAAATGGATTGCAAGTGAATGGAATCAAAAATAATCGAAAGGAATGGAGTGTAACGGGATGATATTGACTATAATGGAATGGAATGGAATTTAATGGAATGGAGTCGAAGGAATGGACAGGAATGTAATGGACTCCAATGGAATGGAATGGATCAAAATGGATTTGAACAGATTGGAATCGAACGGAATGGAATGCAATGGAATGGAATGGACTCGAATGGAGAAGAGATAAATGGAATGGAAACGAATTCAATGGAATTGTAAAGAATAGGATGGAATGGCGTGTAATGGTAAGATACTAAATGGAATGGAATTGAATGGAATGGAATGGACCCAAATGAAATGCACTCGAAAGGAATATACTCAAGTAGAATGGAATCGAAAGGAAAGGTCTCAAATGGAATTTATTCAATACAATGGAATCGAATGGAATGCAATAGAATGGAATGGAATCGAATGTAATGGAATCAAATAGAATGGACCAGAATGGAATGGACTGCCATAGAACGGACTGCAGTGTAATGGATTGAATTCTAATTCATTCAAATGGAATGGAATTGAATGGAATGGAATCCAATGGAATGGATAGGATTGTACTGGAATGGAATAGCATGGAATGCAACGGAGTGGAATGGAGTTGAATGAAGTGGAATGGAATCGATCGGAATGGAATCAAATGGAATGGACGGGAATGGAATGGACTGGAAGAGAACAGACTTGAATTTAATGGATTGTAATGTAATTGATTCAAATGGAATGGAATCGAATGGAATGTAATAAAATTGAAGGGATTTGAGTTCAATACAATGGAATAAAATGGAATGCAAAGGAAAGGAAAGGTACGGAGTGAAATCGAGTGTAATGGAATCGAATGGAAAGAATTCGAATGGAATGGAATCAAAAGAAATGGACGAGGGACAAAACGGAATCGAACTGATTGGAATCGAATGGAACGGAATGGAATGGAATGGTCTTCATTGGATCGGAGTAGAACGGCCTGCAATGGAATGGAATGAAATGGAATGGAAAGGAATAGAATGGAATGGAATGGAATGGAATGGAATGGAATGGAATGGAAAGATATCGAACGGATTGGAAAGGAATGGAATGGACCCTAATGGAATGGAATGGAATTCAACAGAAACGAATGGAATGGACTGGAGTGAAATGGAGTCGAATGTAATTGACTGGAGTGGAATGGACTCGAAAGGAATGGACTCGAATAGAATGGACTGGAATGGATTGTACTCGAATGGAGTGAAAGGGATAAAATGGATTCCACCAGATTGGAATGGAACAGAATGTAATGGAATGGAATGGAATGGAATGCAATGGAATAGCTCCAATGGAATGGAGTCGAATGCAATGGAACAGAAAGGAAAGGAATTGAATGGAATTGAAAGTAATAGAACAAAATGGAGTGCAAAGGAAAGATATTGAATGGAATGGATAGAAAAGAAATCGAATGGAATGGACAGGAATGGAATGGAATAGAATGGAATAGACTGGCGTGCAATGAAAACGAATGGAATGGAAACGAATGGAATGCAATGGAAAGGAATGGAGTAGAATAAATACTATGGAATGGAATGGAGGCGAAAGGAAAAGAATGGATTGGAATGTCACCGAATGGAAAGATATGGAATGGAAAGTAATGGATACGAATGGAAGGGAATAGAAAGGAACGGAAAGGTAAAGAATGGAATGGAATCGGATACAATGGAATGCAATGTAATGGAGTCGAATGGAAAATAATCGTGTAGAATGATATCGAATGGAATGGAATGGAATGGAATGAAATGGAATGGAATGGAATGAAATGGAATGGAATGGAATGGAACGGAATGGAATGGACTAGAATGGAATGTACTCAAATGGATTAGAATAGAATGGAATGGAACTAAACGTAATGAACTCGAATGGAATGGACACAAATAGAATGGAAGAGAAAGGAATGGTATTGAATGGAATTTATTCGAATAGAGTGGAATTCAATGGAATGCAACAGTGTGGCATGGAATCAAATGGAATGGAATCGAATGGAATGGACCCGAGTGGAATGGACTCACATAGAACAGCCTCGATTGTAATGGATGACAATGTATTAGATTCGAAAGGACTGAAATCGAATGGAATGTAATCAAGTAGAACGGAATTGAATGCATGGAATGGCATAGAAAGTAACGCAATGGAATGGAATAGACTGGAATGGAATGGAATCGGATGGAATGTAATGAAATGTAATGGAAGGAATGCCATGGAATGGAATGGAATGGAATGCAATGGGACGGTGTATAATGGAGTGCAATGGATTTCAGTGGAATGTAGTCAAAAGGAAAGAAATAGAATGGAATTCAATATAATGGAATGGCATCCAATGGCAAGGAATGGAGCGGACTCCAATGGAAACGAAATGAAAGGAATATAATATAATGGAATGGCATTGAACGAAATGGAATGCAATGGAGTTAAAAGGTAAAATATCGAATGGAAAAGAATTGAATGGACGCGAAAGGAATATAATGGAATGGAATGGACTCGAATGGAATGTACTAGAGTTGAATGGAATCGAATGGAATGGAAAACAATGGAAAGGAAAGGAAGGGAATTGAAAGGAAAGGAATAGAATGGAATGGAATCGGATGGAACGGAATTGAATTGTATGGAAACTAAAGGAATAGAATAGATAGGAATCGTATTGAATGGAATGGAATGGAATGGAATCAGATGGAACAGAAAGGAATGGAATAGAATAGAATGGAACGGCATCGAATGGATGAAATGGCATGTAATGGAATGGAATAGAAAGGAATGGAATGGACTCGAATGGAATGTACTCAAATGGAATAGAATAGAATGGAATGGAAGTAAATATAATGGACTCGAATGGAATGCATTGGAATAAATTGGAATTGAGTGTATTGGATTCGAATGGAAAGGAATGGAATGGAATGGAATGGAATGGAATGGAATGGAATGGAATGGAATCGAATGGAATGGAACGAATTGGAATGTAATTGAATGGAGTCAAAAACAGTAGAAAGAAATAAAGTTTCATCGAATGATATCGAATGGAATTGAATGGAATGTACGCGAATGGAATGGACTGGAATGGAATGGAGTGACATGTAACGGAATCGAAAGGAATGGAATCCAATGAAATGGAATTGAATGGAATAGAAATGAATAGAATGGAATGGAGATTAATGGAAAGATATTAAAATAATGGAATGGAATTGAGTGGACACGAATGGAATGGACTGGAATGAAAGGACTCGAATGAAATGGAGCGCATTAGAATGGACTCGAATGGAATGGATTGGAGTGGAATGGTCTCGAATGGATTGGAAAGGAATAGAATGGAATGTAATCCAATGGAACGAAATGGAATGGAATGGATTCGACTGGAGCAGAGTTGAATGGAGTGGAATTGAATGGAATGGAATGCAATCGAATGGAATGGACACGAATTGAATAGAATGAAATGAAATGGCATAGAATGGAATGGAATGGAATGGAATGGAATGGAATGGAATGGAATGGAATGGTATGGCGTGGAATGGAATGGCATGGCATGGTATGGAATGGAATGGAATGGAATGAAATGGATTGGAATGGGATGGGCCCAAAAGTAATAGACTCAAATAAAAGGGACTCAAATAGAATGAAGTGGAAAGAAATGGTCTCGAATGTAATTTATTCGAATAGAATGATATTGAATGGAATGCAATAGTATGGAATGGTATCGAATAGAATGGAATAGAATGGAATGGAATGGAACGGAATGGAGTGCAATTGAACGGACTCAAATGCAATAAATTGCAATATAATTGATTCAAATGTAATGGAATCGGATAGAATGTAAACAAATGGAATGGAAGGCAATGCAATGGAAAGGAATCGAATGAAATGGAATAAATGGAATGGAATGGAATGGAAAGGATTCGAATATATAGGACTGTTAACGAAAGTTGTCGAATCGAATTTATTCCAATAGAATGGAATCGAATGGAATGCAATACTATTGAATCGAATCGAATGGAATGGAATTGAATGGAATGGACAGGAATGGAATGAACTGGAAGTGAATGGACAGGAACGTAATATATTGCTATGTAATTTATTCAAATGGAATGGAATGCAATCGAATGGAATGGACTCGAATGGAATGGACTGGAATGGAATGGACTCAAATGGAATGGAAAGGAATGTAATGGAATGGAATGGAAAGCAAAGGAATCTACTGGAATAGAATCGAACGGAACAGAAAGGAATGGAATGGAATGGAGTGGAATGGACTCGAATGGAATGTATTCGAATGTAATGGACCTGAAAGGAATGGAATCCAATGGAATGAAACTGAATGGAATCAAAAGGAATAGAAAGGAATAGAGTGTAATTGAATGATATCGAAAGGAAGGGAATGGAATGAACTCGAATGGAATGCACTGGAATGGAATGGACTCGATCAAAACGGACTGGAGAGGAATGTACACAAATGGAATGGAAACGAATGGAATGGAATGAAATGGAATGGAATGAAATGGAATTGAAAGGAAGGGAATCAAATGGAATGGAATGGAATGGATTGGAATAGAATGGATTCAAATAAAATAGAATCGATGGTAATGGTATTGAATGAAAGGGACTTGAATGGAATGGAAAGCAATGGAAGATATTGGAATCGAATGGCATCAAATGAAATGGAATGGAACGGAATGGAACGGAACCGAATGGAATGGAATGGACTCAAATGTAATGGACTCCAATGGAATCGACTGAAATATAATAGTGTCGAAAGGAATGGCCTCGAGCGGAATTTATTTGAATAGAATGGAATCAAATGGAATACAATACCATTGAATGGAATCGAATGGAATGGAATCGAATGGAATGGAATCAAATGGAATGGAACGGAATTCAATATAATGGAGTAGCATGGAATGCATTGGAAAGGAGCAGAGTGGAATCGATTGGAATGGAATCGAGTGGAATGGAATCAATGGGAACAAAATCGAATTGAATGGACTTGAATGGAATTGACTCGAAAGGAATTGACTCGAAAGGAATGGACTGGAACAAAAAGGAATCAAATGGACAGGAATGGTATGGAATGGACACGAATGGAATGGAGTCAAATGCAAACGCATCGAATTGCATGGATTCAAATGGAATGCAATTGAATGGAATAGAAAGGAAGAGAATGGAATTGAGAGTAATGGAAAGATATCGATTGGAATGAAATGGATTGGAAAGGAATTGAACGAAAAGGAATGGAGTGGAAAGAAATGGATTGGAATGGAATGTTCTCTAATGGAATGGACTGGAATGGAATGGAATCGAATGGAATGAAAAGAATGGAACGGAATGGAACGGAAAGGAATAGAACGTTATGGAATCCGATTGGACAGAATGGAATGGAATGGAGTTTCATGAAATGGAGTCGAATAGAGTGTCCTCAAAAGGAATGGAATGGAATGGAGTGGACTCAAAAGGAATGGACTCGAAAGGAATGGAGTCCAACCAAATTGAATCAAATGGATTGGAGTCGAACAGAATGGAATGGAATGGAATGAACTCGACTGGAGTAGAGAGGAATGTAAAGGAATAGAATGGAATGTAATCAAATGGATTGCAAGTGAATGGAATCAAAAATAATAGAAAGGAATGGAGTGTAAAGGGATGATATTGAATATAATGGAATGGAATGGAATTTAATGGAATGGAGACGAAGGAATGGACAGGAATGTAATGGACTCCAATGGAATGGAATGGATCAAAATGGATTTGAACAGATTGGAATCGAACGGAATGGAATGCAATGGAATGGAATGGACTCGAATGGAGAAGAGACAAATGGAATGGAAACGAATTCAATGGAATTGAAAAGAATAGGATGGAATGGCGTGTAATGGTAAGATACTAAATGGAATGGAATTGAATGGAATGGAATGGACCCAAATGTAATGCACTCGAAAGGAATATACTCAAATAGAATGGAATCGAAAGGAAAGGTCTCAAATGGAATTTATTCAATACAATGGAATCGAATGGAATGCAATAGAATGGAATGGAATCGAATGTAATGGAATCAAATAGAATGGACCAGAATGGAATGGACTGCCATAGAACGGACTGCAGTGTAATGGATTGAATTCTAATTCATTCAAATGGAATGGAATTGAATGGAATGGAATCCAATGGAATGGATAGGATTGTACTGGAATGGAATAGCATGGAATGCAACGGAGTGGAATGGAGTTGAATGAAGTGGAATGGAATCGATTGGAATGGAATCAAATGGAATGGACGGGAATGGAATGGACTGGAAGAGAACAGACTCGAATTTAATGGATTGCAATGTAATTGATTCAAATGGAATGGAATCGAATGGAATGTAATAAAATTGAAGGGATTTGAGTTCAATGCAATGGAATAGAATGGAATGCAAAGGAAAGGAAAGGTACGGAGTGAAATCGAGTGTAATGGAATCGAATGGAATGAAATCGAATGGAATGGACTCAAAAGAAATGGAAGAGGGACAAAACGGAATCGAACTGATTGGAATCGAACGGAACGGAATGGAATGGAATGGTCTCCATTGGATCGGAGTAGAACGCACTGGAATGGAATGGAATGAAATGGAATGGAAAGGAATAGAATGGAATGGAATGGAATGGAATGGAATGGAATGGAATGGAAGGTAATGGAAAGATATCGAACGGATTGGAAAGGAATGGAATGGACCCTAATGGAATGGAATGGAATTCAACAGAAACGAATGGAATGGACTGGAGTGAAATGGAGTCAAATGTAATTGACTGGAGTGGAATGGACTCGAAAGGAATGGACTCGAATAGAATGGACTGGAATGGATTGTACTCGAATGGAGTGGAAAGGAATAAAATGGATTCCACCAGATTGGAATGGAACAGAATGTAATGGAATGGAATGGAATGCAATGGAATAGCTCCAATGGAATGGAGTCGAATGCAATGGAACAGAAAGGAAAGGAATTGAATGGAATTGAAAGTAATAGAACAAAATGGAGTGCAAAGGAAAGATATTGAATGGAATGGATCGAAAAGAAATCGAATGGAATGGTCAGGAATGGAATGGAATAGAATGGAATAGACTGGCGTGCAGTGAAAACTAATGGAATGGAAACGAATGGAATGCAATGGAAAGGAATGGAGTAGAATAAATACTATGGAATGGAATGGAGGCGAAAGGAAAAGAATAGATTGGAATGTCAACGAATGGAAAGATATGGAATGGAAAGGAATGGATACGAATGGAATGGAATAGAAAGGAACGGAAAGGTAAAGAATGGAATGGAATCGGATAGAATGGAATGCAATGTAATGGAGTCGAATGGAAAATAATCGTGTAGAATGATATCGAATGGAATGGAATTGAATGGAATGGAATGGAATGGACTCGAATGGAATGTACTCAAATGGATTAGAATAGAATGGAATGGAACTAAACGTAATGAACTCGAATGGAATGGACACAAATAGAATGGAAGAGAAAGGAATGGTATTGAATGGAATTTATTCGAATAGAGTGGAATTCAATGGAATGCAACAGTGTGGCATGGAATCAAATGGAATGGAATCGAATGGAATGGACCCGAGTGGAATGGACTCACATAGAACAGCCTCGAATGTAATGGATGACAATGTATTAGATTCGAAAGGACTGAAATCGAATGGAATGTAATCAAGTAGAACGGAATTGAATGCATGGAATGGCATAGAAAGTAACGCAATGGAATGGAATAGACTGGAATGGAATGGAATCGGATGGAATGTAATGAAATGTAATGGAAGGAATGCCATGGAATGGAATGGAATGGAATGCAATGGGACGGTGTATAATGGAGTGCAATGGATTTCAGTGGAATGTAGTCCAAAGGAAAGAAATAGAATGGAATTCAATATAATGGAATGGCATCCAATGGCAAGGAATGGAGCGTACTCCAATGGAAACGACATGAAAGGAATATAATAAAATGGAATGGCATTGAACGAAATGGAATGCAATGGAGTTAAAAGGTAAAATATCGAATGGAAAAGAATTGAATGGACTCGAAAGGAATATAATGGAATGGAATGGACTCGAATGGAATGTACTAGAGTTGAATGGAATCGAATGGAATGGAAAACAATGGAAAGGAAAGGAAGGGAATTGAAAGGAAAGGAATAGAATGGAATGGAGTCGGATGGAACGGAATTGAATGGAATGGAAACTAAAGGAATAGAATAGAAAGGAATCGCATTGAATGGAATGGAATAGAATGGAATCAGATGGAACAGAAAGGAATGGAATAGAATCGAATGGAATGGCATCGAATGGATGGAATGAAATGTAATGGAATGGAATAGAAAGGAATGGAATGGACTCGAATGGAATGTCCTCAAATGGAATAGAATAGAATGGAATGGAAGTAAATATAATGGACTCGAATAGAATGCATTGGAATAAATTGGAATTGAGTGTATTGGATTCGAATGGAAAGGAATGGAATGGAATGAATGGAATGGAATGGAAGGGAATGGAATGGATTCGAATTGAATGGAATGGAATGGAATGGAATGGAATGGAATGGAATGGAATGGAATGGAATGGATTCGAATGGAATGGAATCGAATGGAATGGAGCGAATTGGAATGTAATTGAATGGAGTCAAAAACAGTAGAAAGAAATAAAGTTTCATCGAATGATATCGAATGGAATTGAATGGAATGTACGCGAATGGAATGGACTGGAATGGAATGGAGTGACATGTAACGGAATCGAAAGGAATGGAATCCAATGAAATGGAATTGAATGGAATAGAAATGAATAGAATGGAATGGAGATTAACGGAAAGATATTAAAATAATGGAATGGAATTGAGTGGACACGAATGGAATGGACTGGAATGGAAAGGACTCGAATGAAATGGAGCGCATTAGAATGGACTGGAATGGAATGGATTGGAGTGGAATGGTCTCGAATGGATTGGAAAGCAATGGAATGGAAAGGAATAGAATGGAATGTAATCAAATGGAACGAAATGGAATGGAATGTATTCGACTGGAGCAGAATTGAATGGAGTGGAATTGAATGGAATGGAATGCAATCGAATGGAATGGACACGAATCAAATAGAATGAAATGAAATGGCATAGAATGGAATGGAATGGAATGGAATGGAATGGAATGGAACGGAATGGAATTAAATGGAACGGAATGGAATGGCATGGAATGGAATGGCATGGCATGGAATGGAATGGAATGGAATGGAATGAAATGGATTGGAATGGGATGGGCCCAAAAGTAATAGACTCAAATAAAAGGGACTCAAATAGAATGAACTGGAAAGAAACGGTCTCGAATGTAATTTATTCGAATAGAATGATATTGAATGGAATGCAATAGTATGGAATGGTATCGAATAGAATGGAATAGAATGGAATGGAATGGAACGGAATGGAGTGCAATTGAACCGACTCAAATGCAATAAATTGCAATATAATTGATTCAAATGGAATGGAATTGAATAGAATGTAAACAAATGGAATGGAAGGCAATGCAATGGAAAGGAATCGAATGAAATGGAATAAATGGAATGGAATGGAATGGAATGGAAAGGACGCGAATATATTGGACTGTTAAGGAAAGGTGTCAAATCGAATTTATTCCAATAGAATGGAATCGAATGGAATGCAATACTATTGAATCGAATCGAATGGAATGGAATTGAATGGAATGGACAGGAATGGAATGAACTGGAAGTGAATGGACAGGAACGTAATATATTGCAATGTAATTTATTCAAATGGAATGGAATGCAATCGAATGGAATGGACTCGATTGGAATGGACTGGAGTGGAATGTACTCAAATGGAATGGCAAGGAATGGAATGGAATGGAATGGAAAGCAAAGGAATCTACTGGAATAGAATCGAACGGAACAGAAAGGAATGGAATGGAATGGAGTGGAATGGACTCGAATGGAATGTATTCGAATGTAATGGACCTAAAAAGGAATGGAATCCAATGGAATGGAATTGAATGGAATCAAAAGGAATAGAAAGGAATAGAGTGTAATTGAATGATATCGAATGGAAGGGAATAGAATGAACTCGAATGGAATGCACTGGAATGGAATGGACTCGATCAGAACGGACTGGAGAGGAATGTACACAAATGGAATGGAAACGAATGGAATGGAATGAAATGGAATGGAATGAAATGGAATTGAAAGGAACGGAATCAAATGGAATGGAATGGAATGGAATGGATTGGAATAGAATGGATTCAAATAAAATAGAATCGATGGGAATGGTATTGAATGAAAGGGACTTGAATGGAAAGGAACCGAATGGAATGGAATGGACTCAAATGTGATGGACACCAATGGAATCGACTGAAATATAATAGTGTCGAAAGGAATGGCCTCGAGCGGAATTTATTTGAATAGAATGGAATCAATTGGAATACAATACCATTGAATGGAATCGAATGGAATGGAATCGAATGGAATGTAATCAAATGGAATGGAACGGAATTCAATATAATGGAGTAGAATGGAATGCATTGGAAAGGAGCAGACTGGAATCAAGTGGAATGGCATCGAGTGGAATGGAATCGAGTGGAATGGAATCAATGGGAACAAAATCGAATTGAATGGACTTGAATGGAATTGACTCGAAAGGAATTGACTCGAAAGGAATGGACTGGAACAAAAAGGAATCAAATGGACAGGAATGGGATGGAATGGACACGAATGGAATGGAGTCAAATGCAAACGCATCGAATGGAATGGATTCAAATGGAATGCAATGGAATGGAACAGAAAGGAAGAGAATGGAATTGAGAGTAATGGAAAGATATCGATTGGAATGAAATGGAATGGAAAGGAATTGAATGGAAAGGAATGGAGTGGAAAGAAATGGATTGGAATGGAATGGTCTCCATTGGAATGGACTGGAGTGGAATGGAATCGAATGGAAGGAAAAGAATGGAACGGAATGGAACGGAAAGAATAGAATGTTATGGAATCCGATTGGACAGAATGGAATGGAATGGAGTTTCATGAAATGGAGTCGAATAGAGTGGCATCAAAAGGAATGGAATGGAATGGAGTGGACTCAAAAGGAATGGACTCGAAAGGAATGAAGTCCAACCAAATTGAATTAAATGGATTGGAGTCGAACAGAATGGAATGGAATGGAATGAACTCGACTGGAGTAGAGAGGAATGTAAAGGAATAGAATGGAATGTAATCAAATGGACTGCAAGTGAATGGAATCAAAAATAATAGGAATGGAGTTTAAAGGGATGATATTGAATATAATGGAATGGAATGGAATTTAATGGAATGGAGACGAAGGAATGGACAGGAATGTAATGGACTCCAATGGAATGGAATGGATCAAAATGGATTTGAACAGATTGGAATCGAACGGAATGGAATGCAATGGAATGGAATGGACTCGAATGGAGAAGAGACAAATGGAATGGAAACGAATTCAATGGAATTGAAAAGAATAGGATGGAATGGCGTGTAATGGTAAGATACTAAATGGAATGGAATTGAATGGAATGGAATGGACCCAAATGTAATGCACTCGAAAGGAATACACTCAAATAGAATGGAATCGAAAGGAAAGGTCTCAAATGGAATTTATTCAATAAAATGGAATCGAATGGAATGCAATAGAATGGAAAGGAATCGAATGTAATGGAATCAAATAGAATGGACCAGAATGGAATGGACTGCCATAGAACGGACTGCAGTGTAATTGATTGAATTCTAATTCATTCAAATGGAATGGAATTGAATGGAATGGAATCCAATGGAATGGATAGGATTGTACTGGAATGGAATAGCATGGAATGCAACGGAGTGGAATGGAGTTGAATGAAGTGGAATGGAATCGATTGGAATGGAATCAAATGGAATGGACGGGAATGGAATGGACTGGAAGAGAACAGACTCGAATTTAATGGATTGCAATTTAATTGATTCAAATGGAATGGAATCGAATGGAATGTAATAAAATTGAAGGGATTTGAGTTCAATGCAATGGAATAGAATGGAATGCAAAGGAAAGGAAAGGTACGGAGTGAAATCGAGTGTAATGGAATCGAATGGAATGAAATCGAATGGAATGGACTCAAAAGAAAAGGAAGAGGGACAAAACGGAATCGAACTGATTGGAATCGAACGGAATGGAATGGAATGGTCTCCATTGGATCGGAGTAGAACGGACTGGAATGGAATGGAATGAAAAGGAATGGAAAGGAATAGAATGGAATGGAATGGAATGGAATGGAATGGAATGGAAGGTAATGGAAAGATATCGAACGGATTGGAAAAGAATGGAATGGACCCTAATGGAATGGAATGGAATTCAACAGAAACGAATGGAATGGACTGGAGTGAAATGGAGTCGAATGTAATTGACTGGAGTGGAATGGACTCGAAAGGAATGGACTCGAATAGAATGGACTGGAATGGATTGTACTCGAATGGAGTGGAAAGGAATAAAATGGATTCCACCAGATTGGAATGGAACAGAATGTAATGGAATGGAATGGAATGCAATGGAATAGCTCCAATGGAATGGAGTCGAATGCAATGGAACAGAAAGGAAAGGAATTGAATGGAATTGAAAGTAATAGAACATAATGGAGTGCAAAGGAAAGATATTGAATGGAATGGATTCAAAAGAAATCGAATGGAATGGTCAGGAATGGAATGGAATAGAATGGAATAGACTGGCGTGCAGTGAAAACGAGTGGAATGGAAACGAATGGAATGCAATGGAAAGGAATGGAGTAGAATAAATACTATGGAATGGAATGGAGGCGAAAGGAAAAGAATAGATTGGAATGTCACCGAATGGAAAGATATGGAATGGAAAGGAATGGATACGAATGGAATGGAATAGAAAGGAACGGAAAGGTAAAGAATGGAATGGAATCGGATAGAATGGAATGCAATGTAATGGAGTCGAATGGAAAATAATCGTGTAGAATGATATCGAATGGAATGGAATTGAATGGAATGGACTCGAATGGAATGTACTCAAATGGATTAGAATAGAATGGAATGGAACTAAACGTAATGAACTCGAATGGAATGGACACAAATAGAATGGAAGAGAAAGGAATGGTATTGAATGGAATTTATTCGAATAGAGTGGGATTGAATGGAATGCAACAGTGTGGCATGGAATCAAATGGAATGGAATCGAATGGAATGGACCCGAGTGGAATGGACTCACATAGAGCAGCCTCGAATGTAATGGATGACAATGTATTAGATTCGAAAGGACTGAAATCGAATGGAATGTAATCAAGTAGAACGGAATTGAATGCATGGAATGGCATAGAAAGTAACGCAATGGAATGGAATAGACTGGAATGGAATGGAATCGGATGGAATGTAATGAAATGTAATGGAAGGAATGCCATGGAATGGAATGGAATGGAATGCAATGGGACGGTGTATAATGGAGTGCAATGGATTTCAGTGGAATGTAGTCAAAAGGAAAGAAATAGAATGGAATTCAATATAATGGAATGGCATCCAATGGCAAGGAATGGAGCAGACTCCAATGGAAACGACATGAAAGGAATATAATAAAATGGAATGGCATTGAACGAAATGGAATGCAATGGAGTTAAAAGGTAAAATATCGAATGGAAAAGAATTGAATGGACTCGAAAGGAATATAATGGAATGGAATGGACTCGAATGGAATGTACTAGAGTTGAATGGAATCGAATGGAATGGAAAACAATGGAAAGGAAAGGAAGGGAATTGAAAGGAAAGGAATAGAATGGAATGGAATCGGATGGAACGGAATTGAATGGAATGGAAACTAAAGGAATAGAATAGAAAGGAATCGCATTGAATGGAATGGAATAGAATGGAATCAGATGGAACAGAAAGGAATGGAATAGAATCGAATGGAATGGCATCGAATGGATGGAATGAAATGTAATGGAATGGAATAGAAAGGAATGGAATGGACTCGAATGGAATGTCCTCAAATGGAATAGAATAGAATGGAATGGAAGTAAATATAATGGACTCGAATGGAATGCATTGGAATAAATTGGAATTGAGTGTATTGGATTCGAATGGAAAGGAATGGAATGGAATGGAATGGAATGGAATGGAATGGAATGGATTCGAATGGAATGGAATCGAATGTAATGGAGCGAATTGGAATGTAATTGAATGGAGTCAAAAACAGTAGAGATAAATAAAGTTTCATCAAATGATATCGAATGGAATTGAATGGAATGTACGCGAATGGAATGGACTGGAATGGAATGGAGTGACATGTAACGGAATCGATAGGAATGGAATCCAATGAAATGGAATTGAATGGAATAGAAATGAATAGAATGGAATGGAGATGAATGGAAAGATATTAAAATAATGGAATGGAATTGAGTGGACACGAATGGAATGGACTGGAATGGAAAGGACTCGAATGAAATGG
Source organism: Homo sapiens (assembly GCF_000001405.40). Taxonomy (NCBI): domain Eukaryota; kingdom Metazoa; phylum Chordata; class Mammalia; order Primates; family Hominidae; genus Homo; species Homo sapiens. The sequence continues at coordinate 11,561,376 of NC_000024.10, forward strand.
AGCGCATTAGAACGGACTGGAATGGAATGGATTGGAGTGGAATGGTCTCGAATGGATTGGAAAGGAATGGAATGGAAAGGAATAGAATGGAATGTAATCAAATGGAACGAAATGGAATGGAATGGATTCGACCGGAGCAGAATTGAATGGAGTGGAATTGAATGGAATGGGATGCAATCGAATGGAATGGACACGAATCAAATAGAATGAAATGAAATGGCATAGAATGGAATGGAATGGAATGGAATGGAATGGAATGGAATGGGATGGAATGGAATGGAATTAAATGGAACGGAATGGAATGGCATGGAATGGAATGGCATGGCATGGAATGGAATGGAATGGAATGGAATGAAATGGATTGGAATGGGATGGGCCCAAAAGTAATAGACTCAAATAAAAGGAACTCAAATAGAATGAAGTGGAAAGAAACGGTCTCGAATGTAATGTATTCGAATGGAATGATATTGAATGGAATGCAATAGTATGGAATGGTATCGAATAGAATGGAATAGAATGGAATGGAATGGAACGGAATGGAGTCCAATTGAACCGACTCAAATGCAATAAATTGCAATATAATTGATTCAAATGGAATGGAATTGAATAGAATGTAAACAAATGGAATGGAAGGCAATGCAATGGAAAGGAATCGAATGAAATGGAATAAATGGAATGGAATGGAATGGAAAGGACGCGAATATATTGGACTGTTAAGGAAAGGTGTCAAATCGAATTTATTCCAATAGAATGGAATCGAATGGAATGCAATACTGTTGAATCGAATCGAATGGAATGGAATTGAATGGAATGGGCAGGAATGGAATGAACTGGAAGTGAATGGACAGGAACGTAATATATTACAATGTAATTTATTCAAATGGAATGGAATGCAATCGAATGGAATGGACTCGATTGGAATGGACTGGAGTGGAATGGACTCAAATGGAATGGCAAGGAATGGAATGGAATGGAATGGAAAGCAAAGGAATCTACTGGAATAGAATCGAACGGAACAGAAAGGAATGGAATGGAATGGAGTGGAATGGACTCGAATGGAATGTATTCGAATGTAATGGACCTAAAAAGGAATGGAATCCAATGGAATGGAATTGAATGGAATCAAAAGGAATAGAAAGGAATAGAGTGTAATTGAATGATATCGAAAGGAAGGGAATGGAATGAACTCGAATGGAATGCACTGGAATGGAATGGACTCGATCAGAACGGACTGGAGAGGAATGTACACAAATGGAATGGAAACGAATGGAATGGAATGAAATGGAATGGAATGAAATGGAATTGAAAGGAACAGAATCAAATGGAATGGAATGGAATGGAATGGATTGGAATAGAATGGATTCAAATAAAAGAGAATCGATGGGAATGGTATTGAATGAAAGGGACTTGAATGGAATGGAAAGCAATGGAAGATATTGGAATCGAATGGCATCGAATGAAATGGAATGGAACGGAATGGAACGGAACCGAATGGAATGGAATGGACTCAAATGTAATGGACACCAATGGAATCGACTGAAATATAATAGTGTCGAAAGGAATGGCCACGAGCGGAATTTATTTGAATAGAATGGAATAAAATGGAATACAAAACCATTGAATGGAATCGAATGGAATGGAATCGAATGGAATGGAATCAAATGGAATGGAACGGAATTCAATATAATGGAGTAGAATGGAATGCATTGGAAAGGAGCAGACTGGAATCAAGTGGAATGGAATCGAGTGGAATGGAATCAATGGGAACAAAATCGAATTGAATGGACTTGAATGGAATTGACTCGAAAGGAATGGACTGGAACAAAAAGGAATCAAATGGACAGGAATGGGATGGAATGGACACGAATGGAATGGAGTCAAATGCAAACGCATCGAATGGAATGGATTCAAATGGAATGCAATGGAATGGAAGAGAAAGGAAGAGAATGGAATTGAGAGTAATGGAAAGATATCGATTGGAATGAAATGGAATGGAAAGGAATTGAATGGAAAGGAAGGGAGTGGAAAGAAATGGATTGGAATGGAATGGTCTCCAATGGAATGGACTGGAGTGGAATGGAATCTAATGGAATGAAAAGAATGGAACGGAATGGAACGGAAAGGAATAGAATGTTATGGAATCCGATTGGACAGAATGGAATGGAATGGAGTTTCATGAAATGGAGTCGAATAGAGTGGCATCAAAAGGAATGGAATGGAATGGAGTGGACTCAAAAGGAATGGACTCGAAAGGAATGGAGTCCAACCAAATTGAATCAAATGGATTGGAGTCGAACAGAATGGAATGGAATGGAATGAACTCGACTGGAGTAGAGAGGAATGTAAAGGAATAGAATGGAATGTAATCAAATGGATTGCAAGTGAATGGAATCAAAAATAATAGAAAGGAATGGAGTGTAAAGGGATGATATTGAATATAATGGAATGGAATGGAATTTAATGGAATGGAGTCGAAGGAATGGACAGGAATGTAATGGACTCCAATGGAATGGTATGGATGAAAATGGATTTGAACAGATTGGAATCGAACGGAATGGAATGCAATGGAATGGAATGGACTCGAATGGAGAAGAGACAAATGGAATGGAAACGAATTCAATGGAATTGAAAAGAATAGGATGGAATGGCGTGTAATGGTAAGATACTAAATGGAATGGAATTGAATGGAATGGAATGGACCCAAATGTAATGCACTCGAAAGGAATATACTCAAATAGAATGGAATCGAAAGGAAAGGTCTCAAATGGAATTTATTCAATACAATGGAATCGAATGGAATGCAATAGAATGGAATGGAATCGAATGTAATGGAATCAAATAGAATGGACCAGAATGGAATGGACTGCCATAGAACGGACTGCAGTGTAATGGATTGAATTCTAATTCATTCAAATGGAATGGAATTGAATGGAATGGAATCCAATGGAATGGATAGGATTGTACTGGAATGGAATAGCATGGAATGCAACGGAGTGGAATGGAGTTGAATGAAGTGGAATGGAATCGATTGGAATGGAATCAAATGGAATGGACGGGAATGGAATGGACTGGAAGAGAACAGACTCGAATTTAATGGATTGCAATGTAATTGATTCAAATGGAATGGAATCGAATGGAATGTAATAAAATTGAAGGGATTTGAGTTCAATGCAATGGAATAGAATGGAATGCAAAGGACAGGAAAGGTACGGAGTGAAATCGAGTGTAATGGAATCGAATGGAATGAAATGGAATGGAATAGACTCGAAAGAAATGGACGAGGCACAAAACGGAATCGAACTGATTGGAATCGAACGGAACGGAGTGGAATGGAATGGTCTCCATTGGATCGGAGGAGAACGGACTGGAATGGAATGGAATGAAATGGAATGGAACAGAATAGAATGGAATGGAATGGAATGGAATGGAATGGAAGGTAATGGAAAGATATCGAACGGATTGGAAAGGAATGGAATGGACCCTAATGGAATGGAATGGAATTCAACAGAAACTAATGGAATGGACTGGAGTGAAATGGAGTCGAATGTAATTGACTGGAGTGGAATGGACTCGAAAGGAATGGACTCGAATAGAATGGACTGGAATGGATTGTACTCGAATGGAGTGGAAAGGAATACAATGGATTCCACCAGATTGGAATGGAACAGAATGTAATGGAATGGAATGGAATGCAATGGAATAGCTCCAATGGAATGGAGTCGAATGCAGTGGAACAGAAAGGAAAGGAATTGAATGGAATTGAAAGTAATAGAACAAAATGGAGTGCAAAGGAAAGATATTGAATGGAATGGATCGAAAAGAAATCGAATGGAATGGACAGGAATGGAATGGAATAGAATGGAATAGACTGGCGTGCAATGAAAACGAATGGAATGGAAACGAATTTAATGCAATGGAAAGGAATGGAGTAGAATAAATACTATGGAATGGAATGGAGGCGAAAGGAAAAGAATGGATTGGAATGTCACCGAATGGAAAGATATGGAATGGAAAGGAATGGATACGAATGGAATGGAATAGAAAGGAACGGAAAGGTAAAGAATGGAATGGAATCGGATAGAATGGAATGCAATGTAATGGAGTCGAATGGAAAATAATCGTGTAGAATGATATCGAATGGAATGGAATGGAATGGAATGGACTCGAATGGAATGTACTCAAATGGATTAGAATAGAATGGAATGGAACTAAACGTAATGAACTCGAATGGAATGGACACAAATAGAATGGAAGAGAAAGGAATGGTATTGAATGGAATTTATTCGAATAGAGTGGAATTCAATAGAATGCAACAGTGTGGCATGGAATCAAATGGAATGGAATCGAATGGAATGGACCCGAGTGGAATGGACTCACATAGAACAGCCTCGAATGTAATGGATGACAATGTATTAGATTCGAAAGGACTGAAATCGAATGGAATGTAATCAAGTAGAACGGAATTGAATGCATGGAATGGCATAGAAAGTAACGCAATGGAATGGAATAGACTGGAATGGAATGGAATCGGATGGAATGTAATGAAATGTAATGGAAGGAATGCCATGGAATGGAATGGAATGGAATGCAATGGGACGGTGTATAATGGAGTGCAATGGATTTCAGTGGAATGTAGTCAAAAGGAAAGAAATAGAATGGAATTCAATATAATGGAATGGCATCCAATGGCAAGGAATGGAGCAGACTCCAATGGAAACGACATGAAAGGAATATAATAAAATGGAATGGCATTGAACGAAATGGAATGTAATGGAGTTAAAAGGTAAAATATCGAATGGAAAAGAATTGAATGGACTCGAAAGGAATATAATGGAATGGAATGGACTCGAATGGAATGTACTAGAGTTGAATGGAATCGAATGGAATGGAAAACAATGGAAAGGAAAGGAAGGGAATTGAAAGGAAAGGAATAGAATGGAATGGAATCGGATGGAACGGAATTGAATGGAATGGAAACTAAAGGAATAGAATAGAAAGGAATCGCATTGAATGGAATGGAATAGAATGGAATCAGATGGAACAGAAAGGAATGGAATAGAATCGAATGGAATGGCATCGAATGGATGGAATGAAATGTAATGGAATGGAATAGAAAGGAATGGAATGGACTCGAATGGAATGTCCTCAAATGGAATAGAATAGAATGGAATGGAAGTAAATATAATGGACTCGAATGGAATGCATTGGAATAAATTGGAATTGAGTGTATTGGATTCGAATGGAAAGGAATGGAATGGAATGGAATGGAATGGAATGGAATGGATTCGAATGGAATGGAATCGAATGGAATGGAACGAATTGGAATGTAATTGAATGGAGTCAAAAACAGTAGAAAGAAATAAAGTTTCATCGAAAGATATCGAATGGAATTGAATGGAATGTACGCGAATGGAATGGACTGTAATGGAATGGAGTGACATGTAACGGAATCGAAAGGAATGGAATCCAATGAAATGGAATTGAATGGAATAGAAATGAATAGAATGGAATGGAGATTAACGGAAAGATATTAAAATAATGGAATGGAATTGAGTGGACACGAATGGAATGGACTGGAATGGAAAGGACTCAAATGAAAACGAGCGCATTAGAATGGACTCGAATGGAATGGATTGGAGTGGAATGGTCTCGAATGGATTGGAAAGGAATGGAATGGAAAGGAATAGAATGGAATGTAATCAAATGGAACGAAATGGAATGGAATGGATTCGACTGGAGCAGAATTGAATGGAGTGGATTTGAATGGAATGGAATGCAATCGAATGGAATGGACACGAATCGAATAGAATGAAATGAAATGGCATAGAATGGAATGGAATGGAATGGAATGGAATGGAATGGAATGGAATGGAATGGAACGGAATTGAATGTCATGGAATGGAATGGCATGGCATGGAATGGAATGGAATGGAATGGAATGAAATGGATTGGAATGGGATGGGCCCAAAAGTAATAGACTCAAATAAAAGGGACTCAAAGAGAATGAAGTGGAAAGAAACGGTCTCGAATGTAATTTATTCGAATAGAATGATATTGAATGGAATGCAATAGTATGGAATGGTATCGAATAGAATGGAATAGAATGGAATGGAACGGAATGGAGTGCAATTGAACGGACTCAAATGCAATAAATTGCAATATAATTGATTCAAATGGAATGGAATCGAATAGAATGTAAACAAATGGAATGGAAGGCAATGCAATGGAAAGGAATCGAATGAAATGGAATAAATGGAATGGAATGGAATGGAAAGGAGGCGAATATATTGGACTGTTAAGGAAAGGTGTCAAATCGAATTTATTCCAATAGAATGGAATCGAATGGAATGCAATACTATTGAATCGAATCGAATGGAATGGAATTGAATGGAATGGACAGGAATGGAATGAACTGGAAGTGAATGGACAGGAACGTAATATATTGCAATGTAATTTATTCAAATGGAATGGAATGCAATCGAATGGAATGGACTCGATTGGAATGGACTGGAGTGGAATGGATTCAAATGGAATGGCAAGGAATGGAATGGAATGGAATGGAAAGCAAAGGAATCTACTGGAATAGAATCGAACGGAACAGAAAGGAATGGAATGGAATGGAGTGGAATGGACTCGAATGGAATGTATTCGAATGTAATGGACCTAAAAAGGAATGGAATCCAATGGAATGGAATTGAATGGAATCAAAAGGAATAGAAAGGCATCGAGTGTAATTGAATGATATCGAAAGGAAGGGAATGGAATGAACTCGAATGGAATGCACTGGAATGGAATGGACTCGATCAGAACGGACTGGAGAGGAATGTACACAAATGGAATGGAAACGAATGGAATGGAATGAAATGGAATGGAATGAAATGGAATTGAAAGGAAGGGAATCAAATGGAATGGAATGGAATGGATTGGAATAGAATGGATTCAAATAAAATAGAATCGATGGGAATGGTATTGAATGAAAGGGACTTGAATGGAATGGAAAGCAATGGAAGATATTGGAATCGAATGGCATCGAATGAAATGGAATGGAACGGAATGGAACGGAACCGAATGGAATGGAATGGACTCAAATGTAATGGACACCAATGGAATCGACTGAAATATAATAGTGTCGAAAGGAATGGCCTCGAGCGGAATTTATTTGAATAGAATGGAATCAAATGGAATACAATACCATTGAATGGAATCGAATGGAATGGAATCGAATGGAATGGAATCAAATGGAATGGAACGGAATTCAATATAATGGAGTAGAATGGAATGCATTGGAAAGGAGCAGAGTGGAATCAAGTGGAATGGAATCGAGTGGAATGGAATCGAGTGGAATGGAATCAATGGGAACAAAATCGAATTGAATGGACTTGAATGGAATTGACTCGAAAGGAATTGACTCGAAAGAAATGGACTGGAACAAAAAGGAATCAAATGGACAGGAATGGGATGGAATGGACACGAATGGAATGGAGTCAAATGCAAACGCATCGAATGGAATGGATTGAAATGGAATGCAATGGAATGGAACAGAAAGGAAGAGAATGGAATTGAGAGTAATGGAAAGATATCGATTGGAATGAAATGGAATGGAAAGGAATTGAATGGAAAGGAATGGAGTGGAAAGAAATGGATTGGAATGGAATGGTCTCCAATGGAATGGACTGGAGTGGAATGGAATCGAATGGAATGAAAAGAATGGAACGGAATGGAATGGAAAGGAATAGAATATTATGGAATCCGATTGGACAGAATGGAATGGAATGGAGTTTCATGAAATGGAGTCGAATAGAGTGTCATCAAAAGGAATGGAATGGAATGGAGTGGACTCAAAAGGAATGGACTCGAAAGGAATGGAGTCCAACCAAATTGAATCAAATGGATTGGAGTCGAACAGAATGGAATGGAATGAAATGTACTCGACTGGAGTAGAGAGGAATGTAAAGGAATAGAATGGAATGTAATCAAATGGATTGCAAGTGAATGGAATCAAAAATAATAGAAAGGAATGGAGTGTAAAGGGATGATATTGAATGTAATGGAATGGAATGGAATTTAATGGAATGGAGACGAAGGAATGGACAGGAATGTAATGGACTCCAATGGAATGGAATGGATCAAAATGGATTTGAACAGATTGGAATCGAACGGAATGGAATGCAACGGCATGGAATGGACTCGAATGGAGAAGAGACAAATGGAATGGAAACGAATTCAATGGAATTGAAAAGAATAGGATGGAATGGCGTGTAATGGTAAGATACTAAATGGAATGGAATTGAATGGAATGGAATGGACCCAAATGTAATGCACTCGAAAGGAATATACTCAAATAGAACGGAATCGAAAGGAAAGGTCTCAAATGGAATTTATTCAATACAATGGAATCGAATGGAATGCAATAGAATGGAATGGAATCGAATGTAATGGAATCAAATAGAATGGACCAGTATGGAACGGACTGCCATAGAACGGACTGCAGTGTAATGGATTGAATTCTAATTCATTCAAATGGAATGGAATTGAATGGAATGGAATCCAATGGAATGGATAGGATTGTACTGGAATGGAATAGCATGGAATGCAACGGAGTGGAATGGAGTTGAATGAAGTGGAATGGAATCGATCGGAATGGAATCAAATGGAATGGACGGGAATGGAATGGACTGGAAGAGAACAGACTCGAATTTAATGGATTGCAATGTAATTGATTCAAAGGGAATGGAATCGAATGGAATGTAATAAAATTGAAGGGATTTGAGTTCAATGCAATGGAATAAAATGGAATGCAAAGGATAGGAAAGGTACGGAGTGAAATCGAGTGTAATGGAATCGAATGGAATGAAATGGAATGGAATGGACTCAAAAGAAATGGACGAGGGACAAAACGGAATCGAACTGATTGGAATCGAACGGAACGGAATGGAATGGAATGGTCTCCATTGGATCGGAGTAGAACGGACTGGAATGGAATGGAATGAAATGGAATGGAAAGGAATAGAATGGAATGGAATGGAATGGAAGGTAATGGAAAGATATCGAACGGATTGGAAAGGAATGGAATGGACCCTAATGGAATGGAATGGAATTCAACAGAAACGAATGGAATGGACTGGAGTGAAATGGAGTCGAATGTAATTGACTGGAGTGGAATGGACTCGAAAGGAATGGACTCGAATAGAATGGACTGGAATGGATTGTACTCGAATGGAGTGGAAAGGAATAAAATGGATTGCACCAGATTGGAATGGAACAGAATGTAATGGAATGGAATGGAATGCAATGGAATGGCTCCAATGGAATGGAGTCGAATGCAATGGAACAGAAAGGAAAGGAATTGAATGGAATTGAAAGTAATAGAACAAAATGGAGTGCAAAGGAAAGATATTGAATGGAATGAATCGAAAAGAAATCGAATGGAATGGACAAGAATGGAATGGAATAGAATGGAATAGACTGGCGTGCAATGAAAACGAATGGAACGGAAACGAATGGAATGCAATGGAAAGGAATGGAGTAGAATAAATACTATGGAATGGAATGGAGGCGAAAGGAAAAGAATGGATTGGAATGTCACCGAATGGAAAGATATGGAATGGAAAGGAATGGATACGAATGGAATGGAATAGAAAGGAACGGAAAGGTAAAGAATGGAATGGAATCGGATAGAATGGAATGCAATGTAATGGAGTCGAATGGAAAATAATCGTGTAGAATGATATCGAATGGAATGGAATGGAATGGAATGGACTCGAATGGAATGTACTCAAATGGATTAGAATAGAATGGAATGGAACTAAACGTAATGAACTCGAATGGAATGGACACAAATAGAATGGAAGAGAAGGGAATGGTATTGAATGGAATTTATTCGAAAAGAGTGGAATTCAATGGAATGCAGCAGTGTGGCATGGAATCAAATGGAATGGAATCGAATGGAATGGACCCGAGTGGAATGGACTCACATAGAACAGCCTCGAATGTAATGGATGACAATGTATTAGATTCGAAAGGACTGAAATCGAATGGAATGTAATCAAGTAGAACGGAATTGAATGCATGGAATGGCATAGAAAGTAACGCAATGGAATGGAATAGACTGGAATGGAATGGAATCGGATGGAATGTAATGAAATGTAATGGAAGGAATGCCATGGAATGGAATGGAATGGAATGCAATGGGACGGTGTATAATGGAGTGCAATGGATTTCAGTGGAATGTAGTCAAAAGGAAAGAAATAGAATGGAATTCAATATAATGGAATGGCATCCAATGGCAAGGAATGGAGCGGACTCCAATGGAAACGACATGAAAGGAATATAATAAAATGGAATGGCATTGAACGAAATGGAATGCAATGGAGTTAAAAGGTAAAATATCGAATGGAAAAGAATTGAATGGACTCGAAAGGAATATAATGGAATGGAATGGACTCGAATGGAATGTACTAGAGTTGAATGGAATCGAATGGAATGGAAAACAATGGAAAGGAAAGGAAGGGAATTGAAAGGAAAGGAATAGAATGGAATGGAATCGGATGGAACGGAATTGAATGGAATGGAAACTAAAGGAATAGAATAGAAAGGAATCGCATTGAATGGAATGGAATAGAATGGAATCAGATGGAACAGAAAGGAATGGAATAGAATCGAATGGAATGGCATCGAATGGATGGAATGGAATGTAATGGAATGGAATAGAAAGGAATGGAATGGACTCGAATGGAATGTACTCAAATGGAATAGAATAGAATGGAATGGAAGTAAATATAATGGACTCGAATGGAATGCATTGGAATAAATTGGAATTGAGTGTATTGGATTCGAATGGAAAGGAATGGAATGGAATGGAATGGAATGGAATGGAATGGAATGGATTCGAATGGAATGGAATCGAATGGAATGGAACGAATTGGAATGTAATTGAATGGAGTCAAAAACAGTAGAAAGAAATAAAGTTTCATCGAAAGATATCGAATGGAATTGAATGGAATGTACGCGAATGGAATGGACTGGAATGGAATGGAGTGACATGTAACGGAATCGAAAGGAATGGAATCCAATGAAATGGAATTGAATGGAATAGAAATGAATAGAATGGAATGGAGATTAACGGAAAGATATTAAAATAATGGAATGGAATTGAGTGGACACGAATGGAATGGACTGGAATGGAAAGGACTCAAATGAAAACGAGCGCAATAGAATGGACTCGAATGGAATGGATTGGAGTGGAATGGTCTCGAATGGATTGGAAAGGAATGGAATGGAAAGGAATAGAATGGAATGTAATCAAATGGAACGAAATGGAATGGAATGGATTCGACTGGAGCAGAATTGAATGGAGTGGATTTGAATGGAATGGAATGCAATCGAATGGAATGGACACGAATCGAATAGAATGAAATGTAATGGCATAGAATGGAATGGAATGGAATGGAATGGAATGGAATGGAATGGAATGGAACGGAATTGAATGTCATGGAATGGAATGGCATGGCATGGAATGGAATGGAATGGAATGGAATGAAATGGATTGGAATGGGATGGGCCCAAAAGTAATAGACTCAAATAAAAGGGACTCAAAGAGAATGAAGTGGAAAGAAACGGTCTCGAATGTAATTTATTCGAATAGAATGATATTGAATGGAATGCAATAGTATGGAATGGTATCGAATAGAATGGAATAGAATGGAATGGAATGGAACGGAATGGAGTGCAATTGAACGGACTCAAATGAAATAAATTGCAATATAATTGATTCAAATGGAATGGAATCGAATAGAATGTAAACAAATGGAATGGAAGGCAATGCAATGGAAAGGAATCGAATGAAATGGAATAAATGGAATGGAATGGAATGGAAAGGACGCGAATATATTGGACTGTTAAGGAAAGGTGTCAAATCGAATTTATTCCAATAGAATGGAATCGAATGGAATGCAATACTATTGAATCGAATCGAATGGAATGGAATTGAATGGAATGGACAGGAATGGAATGAACTGGAAGTGAATGGACAGGAACGTAATATATTGCAATGTAATTTATTCAAATGGAATGGAATGCAATCGAATGGAATGGACTCGATTGGAATGGACTGGAGTGGAATGGATTCAAATGGAATGGCAAGGAATGGAATGGAATGGAATGGAAAGCAAAGGAATCTACTGGAATAGAATCGAACGGAACAGAAAGGAATGGAATGGAATGGAGTGGAATGGACTCGAATGGAATGTATTCGAATGTAATGGACCTAAAAAGGAATGGAATCCAATGGAATGGAATTGAATGGAATCAAAAGGAATAGAAAGGCATCGAGTGTAATTGAATGATATCGAAAGGAAGGGAATGGAATGAACTCGAATGGAATGCACTGGAATGGAATGGACTCGATCAGAACGGACTGGAGAGGAATGTACACAAATGGAATGGAAACGAATGGAATGGAATGAAATGGAATGGAATGAAATGGAATTGAAAGGAAGGGAATCAAATGGAATGGAATGGAATGGATTGGAATAGAATGGATTCAAATAAAATAGAATCGATGGGAATGGTATTGAATGAAAGGGACTTGAATGGAATGGAAAGCAATGGAAGATATTGGAATCGAATGGCATCGAATGAAATGGAATGGAACGGAATGGAACGGAACCGAATGGAATGGAATGGACTCAAATGTAATGGACACCAATGGAATCGACTGAAATATAATAGTGTCGAAAGGAATGGCCTCGAGCGGAATTTATTTGAATAGAATGGAATCAAATGGAATACAATACCATTGAATGGAATCGAATGGAATGGAATCGAATGGAATGGAATCAAATGGAATGGAACGGAATTCAATATAATGGAGTAGAATGGAATGCATTGGAAAGGAGCAGAGTGGAATCAAGTGGAATGGAATCGAGTGGAATGGAATCGAGTGGAATGGAATCAATGGGAACAAAATCGAATTGAATGGACTTGAATGGAATTGACTCGAAAGGAATTGACTCGAAAGAAATGGACTGGAACAAAAAGGAATCAAATGGACAGGAATGGGATGGAATGGACACGAATGGAATGGAGTCAAATGCAAACGCATCGAATGGAATGGATTGAAATGGAATGCAATGGAATGGAACAGAAAGGAAGAGAATGGAATTGAGAGTAATGGAAAGATATCGATTGGAATGAAATGGAATGGAAAGGAATTGAATGGAAAGGAATGGAGTGGAAAGAAATGGATTGGAATGGAATGGTCTCCAATGGAATGGACTGGAGTGGAATGGAATCGAATGGAATGAAAAGAATGGAACGGAATGGAATGGAAAGGAATAGAATGTTATGGAATCCGATTGGACAGAATGGAATGGAATGGAGTTTCATGAAATGGAGTCGAATAGAGTGTCATCAAAAGGAATGGAATGGAATGGAGTGGACTCAAAAGGAATGGACTCGAAAGGAATGGAGTCCAACCAAATTGAATCAAATGGATTGGAGTCGAACAGAATGGAATGGAATGAAATGTACTCGACTGGAGTAGAGAGGAATGTAAAGGAATAGAATGGAATGTAATCAAATGGATTGCAAGTGAATGGAATCAAAAATAATAGAAAGGAATGGAGTGTAAAGGGATGATATTGAATATAATGGAATGGAATGGAATTTAATGGAATGGAGACGAAGGAATGGACAGGAATGTAATGGACTCCAATGGAATGGAATGGATCAAAATGGATTTGAACAGATTGGAATCGAACGGAATGGAATGCAACGGCATGGAATGGACTCGAATGGAGAAGAGACAAATGGAATGGAAACGAATTCAATGGAATTGAAAAGAATAGGATGGAATGGCGTGTAATGGTAAGATACTAAATGGAATGGAATTGAATGGAATGGAATGGACCCAAATGTAATGCACTCGAAAGGAATATACTCAAATAGAACGGAATCGAAAGGAAAGGTCTCAAATGGAATTTATTCAATACAATGGAATCGAATGGAATGCAATAGAATGGAATGGAATCGAATGTAATGGAATCAAATAGAATGGACCAGTATGGAATGGACTGCCATAGAACGGACTGCAGTGTAATGGATTGAATTCTAATTCATTCAAATGGAATGGAATTGAATGGAATGGAATCCAATGGAATGGATAGGATTGTACTGGAATGGAATAGCATGGAATGCAACGGAGTGGAATGGAGTTGAATGAAGTGGAATGGAATCGATCGGAATGGAATCAAATGGAATGGACGGGAATGGAATGGACTGGAAGAGAACAGACTCGAATTTAATGGATTGCAATGTAATTGATTCAAAGGGAATGGAATCGAATGGAATGTAATAAAATTGAAGGGATTTGAGTTCAATGCAATGGAATAAAATGGAATGCAAAGGATAGGAAAGGTACGGAGTGAAATCGAGTGTAATGGAATCGAATGGAATGAAATGGAATGGAATGGACTCAAAAGAAATGGACGAGGGACAAAACGGAATCGAACTGATTGGAATCGAACGGAACGGAATGGAATGGAATGGTCTCCATTGGATCGGAGTAGAACGGACTGGAATGGAATGGAATGAAATGGAATGGAAAGGAATAGAATGGAATGGAATGGAATGGAATGGAATGGAAGGTAATGGAAAGATATCGAACGGATTGGAAAGGAATGGAATGGACCCTAATGGAATGGAATGGAATTCAACAGAAACGAATGGAATGGACTGGAGTGAAATGGAGTCGAATGTAATTGACTGGAGTGGAATGGACTCGAAAGGAATGGACTCGAATAGAATGGACTGGAATGGATTGTACTCGAATGGAGTGGAAAGGAATAAAATGGATTGCACCAGATTGGAATGGAACAGAATGTAATGGAATGGAATGGAATGCAATGGAATGGCTCCAATGGAATGGAGTCGAATGCAATGGAACAGAAAGGAAAGGAATTGAATGGAATTGAAAGTAATAGAACAAAATGGAGTGCAAAGGAAAGATATTGAATGGAATGAATCGAAAAGAAATCGAATGGAATGGACAAGAATGGAATGGAATAGAATGGAATAGACTGGCGTGCAATGAAAACGAATGGAACGGAAACGAATGGAATCCAATGGAAAGGAATGGAGTAGAATAAATACTATGGAATGGAATGGAGGCGAAAGGAAAAGAATGGATTGGAATGTCACCGAATGGAAAGATATGGAATGGAAAGGAATGGATACGAATGGAATGGAATAGAAAGGAACGGAAAGGTAAAGAATGGAATGGAATCGGATAGAATGGAATGCAATGTAATGGAGTCGAATGGAAAATAATCGTGTAGAATGATATCGAATGGAATGGAATGGAATGGAATGGACTCGAATGGAATGTACTCAAATGGATTAGAATAGAATGGAATGGAACTAAACGTAATGAACTCGAATGGAATGGACACAAATAGAATGGAAGAGAAGGGAATGGTATTGAATGGAATTTATTCGAAAAGAGTGGAATTCAATGGAATGCAGCAGTGTGGCATGGAATCAAATGGAATGGAATCGAATGGAATGGACCCGAGTGGAATGGACTCACATAGAACAGCCTCGAATGTAATGGATGACAATGTATTAGATTCGAAAGGACTGAAATCGAATGGAATGTAATCAAGTAGAACGGAATTGAATGCATGGAATGGCATAGAAAGTAACGCAATGGAATGGAATAGACTGGAATGGAATGGAATCGGATGGAATGTAATGAAATGTAATGGAAGGAATGCCATGGAATGGAATGGAATGGAATGCAATGGGACGGTGTATAATGGAGTGCAATGGATTTCAGTGGAATGTAGTCAAAAGGAAAGAAATAGAATGGAATTCAATATAATGGAATGGCATCCAATGGCAAGGAATGGAGCGGACTCCAATGGAAACGACATGAAAGGAATATAATAAAATGGAATGGCATTGAACGAAATGGAATGCAATGGAGTTAAAAGGTAAAATATCGAATGGAAAAGAATTGAATGGACTCGAAAGGAATATAATGGAATGGAATGGACTCGAATGGAATGTACTAGAGTTGAATGGAATCGAATGGAATGGAAAACAATGGAAAGGAAAGGAAGGGAATTGAAAGGAAAGGAATAGAATGGAATGGAATCGGATGGAACGGAATTGAATGGAATGGAAACTAAAGGAATAGAATAGAAAGGAATCGCATTGAATGGAATGGAATAGAATGGAATCAGATGGAACAGAAAGGAATGGAATAGAATCGAATGGAATGGCATCGAATGGATGGAATGGAATGTAATGGAATGGAATAGAAAGGAATGGAATGGACTCGAATGGAATGTACTCAAATGGAATAGAATAGAATGGAATGGAAGTAAATATAATGGACTCGAATGGAATGCATTGGAATAAATTGGAATTGAGTGTATTGGATTCGAATGGAAAGGAATGGAATGGAATGGAATGGAATGGAATGGAATGGAATGGATTCGAATGGAATGGAATCGAATGGAATGGAACGAATTGGAATGTAATTGAATGGAGTCAAAAACAGTAGAAAGAAATAAAGTTTCATCGAAAGATATCGAATGGAATTGAATGGAATGTACGCGAATGGAATGGACTGGAATGGAATGGAGTGACATGTAACGGAATCGAAAGGAATGGAATCCAATGAAATGGAATTGAATGGAATAGAAATGAATAGAATGGAATGGAGATTAACGGAAAGATATTAAAATAATGGAATGGAATTGAGTGGACACGAATGGAATGGACTGGAATGGAAAGGACTCAAATGAAAACGAGCGCAATAGAATGGACTCGAATGGAATGGATTGGAGTGGAATGGTCTCGAATGGATTGGAAAGGAATGGAATGGAAAGGAATAGAATGGAATGTAATCAAATGGAACGAAATGGAATGGAATGGATTCGACTGGAGCAGAATTGAATGGAGTGGATTTGAATGGAATGGAATGCAATCGAATGGAATGGACACGAATCGAATAGAATGAAATGTAATGGCATAGAATGGAATGGAATGGAATGGAATGGAATGGAATGGAATGGAACGGAATTGAATGTCATGGAATGGAATGGCATGGCATGGAATGGAATGGAATGGAATGGAATGAAATGGATTGGAATGGGATGGGCCCAAAAGTAATAGACTCAAATAAAAGGGACTCAAAGAGAATGAAGTGGAAAGAAACGGTCTCGAATGTAATTTATTCGAATAGAATGATATTGAATGGAATGCAATAGTATGGAATGGTATCGAATAGAATGGAATAGAATGGAATGGAATGGAACGGAATGGAGTGCAATTGAACGGACTCAAATGCAATAAATTGCAATATAATTGATTCAAATGGAATGGAATCGAATAGAATGTAAACAAATGGAATGGAAGGCAATGCAATGGAAAGGAATCGAATGAAATGGAATAAATGGAATGGAATGGAATGGAAAGGACGCGAATATATTGGACTGTTAAGGAAAGGTGTCAAATCGATTTTATTCCAATAGAATGGAATCGAATGGAATGCAATACTATTGAATCGAATCGAATGGAATGGAATTGAATGGAATGGACAGGAATGGAATGAACTGGAAGTGAATGGACAGGAACGTAATATATTGCAATGTAATTTATTCAAATGGAATGGAATGCAATCGAATGGAATGGACTCGATTGGAATGGACTGGAGTGGAATGGATTCAAATGGAATGGCAAGGAATGGAATGGAATGGAATGGAAAGCAAAGGAATCTACTGGAATAGAATCGAACGGAACAGAAAGGAATGGAATGGAATGGAGTGGAATGGACTCGAATGGAATGTATTCGAATGTAATGGACCTAAAAAGGAATGGAATCCAATGGAATGGAATTGAATGGAATCAAAAGGAATAGAAAGGCATCGAGTGTAATTGAATGATATCGAAAGGAAGGGAATGGAATGAACTCGAATGGAATGCACTGGAATGGAATGGACTCGATCAGAACGGACTGGAGAGGAATGTACACAAATGGAATGGAAACGAATGGAATGGAATGAAATGGAATGGAATGAAATGGAATTGAAAGGAAGGGAATCAAATGGAATGGAATGGAATGGATTGGAATAGAATGGATTCAAATAAAATAGAATCGATGGGAATGGTATTGAATGAAAGGGACTTGAATGGAATGGAAAGCAATGGAAGATATTGGAATCGAATGGCATCGAATGAAATGGAATGGAACGGAATGGAACGGAACCGAATGGAATGGAATGGACTCAAATGTAATGGACACCAATGGAATCGACTGAAATAAATAGTGTCGAAAGGAATGGCCTCGAGCGGAATTTATTTGAATAGAATGGAATCAAATGGAATACAATACCATTGAATGGAATCGAATGGAATGGAATCGAATGGAATGGAATCAAATGGAATGGAACGGAATTCAATATAATGGAGTAGAATGGAATGCATTGGAAAGGAGCAGAGTGGAATCAAGTGGAATGGAATCGAGTGGAATGGAATCGAGTGGAATGGAATCAATGGGAACAAAATCGAATTGAATGGACTTGAATGGAATTGACTCGAAAGGAATTGACTCGAAAGAAATGGACTGGAACAAAAAGGAATCAAATGGACAGGAATGGGATGGAATGGACACGAATGGAATGGAGTCAAATGCAAACGCATCGAATGGAATGGATTGAAATGGAATGCAATGGAATGGAACAGAAAGGAAGAGAATGGAATTGAGAGTAATGGAAAGATATCGATTGGAATGAAATGGAATGGAAATGAATTGAATGGAAAGGAATGGAGTGGAAAGAAATGGATTGGAATGGAATGGTCTCCAATGGAATGGACTGGAGTGGAATGGAATCGAATGGAATGAAAAGAATGGAACGGAATGGAATGGAAAGGAATAGAATGTTATGGAATCCGATTGGACAGAATGGAATGGAATGGAGTTTCATGAAATGGAGTCGAATAGAGTGTCATCAAAAGGAATGGAATGGAATGGAGTGGACTCAAAAGGAATGGACTCGAAAGGAATGGAGTCCAACCAAATTGAATCAAATGGATTGGAGTCGAACAGAATGGAATGGAATGAAATGTACTCGACTGGAGTAGAGAGGAATGTAAAGGAATAGAATGGAATGTAATCAAATGGATTGCAAGTGAATGGAATCAAAAATAATAGAAAGGAATGGAGTGTAAAGGGATGATATTGAATATAATGGAATGGAATGGAATTTAATGGAATGGAGACGAAGGAATGGACAGGAATGTAATGGACTCCAATGGAATGGAATGGATCAAAATGGATTTGAACAGATTGGAATCGAACGGAATGGAATGCAACGGCATGGAATGGACTCGAATGGAGAAGAGACAAATGGAATGGAAACGAATTCAATGGAATTGAAAAGAATAGGATGGAATGGCGTGTAATGGTAAGATACTAAATGGAATGGAATTGAATGGAATGGAATGGACCCAAATGTAATGCACTCGAAAGGAATATACTCAAATAGAACGGAATCGAAAGGAAAGGTCTCAAATGGAATTTATTCAATACAATGGAATCGAATGGAATGCAATAGAATGGAATGGAATCGAATGTAATGGAATCAAATAGAATGGACCAGTATGGAATGGACTGCCATAGAACGGACTGCAGTGTAATGGATTGAATTCTAATTCATTCAAATGGAATGGAATTGAATGGAATGGAATCCAATGGAATGGATAGGATTGTACTGGAATGGAATAGCATGGAATGCAACGGAGTGGAATGGAGTTGAATGAAGTGGAATGGAATCGATCGGAATGGAATCAAATGGAATGGACGGGAATGGAATGGACTGGAAGAGAACAGACTCGAATTTAATGGATTGC
This sequence comes from Homo sapiens, assembly GCF_000001405.40. NCBI lineage: Eukaryota > Metazoa > Chordata > Mammalia > Primates > Hominidae > Homo > Homo sapiens. Next base: position 11,581,293 of record NC_000024.10, read on the forward strand.
AATGTAATTGATTCAAAGGGAATGGAATCGAATGGAATGTAATAAAATTGAAGGGATTTGAGTTCAATGCAATGGAATAGAATGGAATGCAAAGGATAGGAAAGGTACGGAGTGAAATCGAGTGTAATGGAATCGAATGGAATGAAATGGAATGGAATGGACTCAAAAGAAATGGACGAGGGACAAAACGGAATCGAACTGATTGGAATCGAACGGAACGGAATGGAATGGAATGGTCTCCATTGGATCGGAGTAGAACGGACTGGAATGGAATGGAATGAAATGGAATGGAAAGGAATAGAATGGAATGGAATGGAATGGAATGGAATGGAAGGTAATGGAAAGATATCGAACGGATTGGAAAGGAATGGAATGGACCCTAATGGAATGGAATGGAATTCAACAGAAACGAATGGAATGGACTGGAGTGAAATGGAGTCGAATGTAATTGACTGGAGTGGAATGGACTCGAAAGGAATGGACTCGAATAGAATGGACTGGAATGGATTGTACTCGAATGGAGTGGAAAGGAATAAAATGGATTGCACCAGATTGGAATGGAACAGAATGTAATGGAATGGAATGGAATGCAATGGAATGGCTCCAATGGAATGGAGTCGAATGCAATGGAACAGAAAGGAAAGGAATTGAATGGAATTGAAAGTAATAGAACAAAATGGAGTGCAAAGGAAAGATATTGAATGGAATGAATCGAAAAGAAATCGAATGGAATGGACAAGAATGGAATGGAATAGAATGGAATAGACTGGCGTGCAATGAAAACGAATGGAACGGAAACGAATGGAATGCAATGGAAAGGAATGGAGTAGAATAAATACTATGGAATGGAATGGAGGCGAAAGGAAAAGAATGGATTGGAATGTCACCGAATGGAAAGATATGGAATGGAAAGGAATGGATACGAATGGAATGGAATAGAAAGGAACGGAAAGGTAAAGAATGGAATGGAATCGGATAGAATGGAATGCAATGTAATGGAGTCGAATGGAAAATAATCGTGTAGAATGATATCGAATGGAATGGAATGGAATGGAATGGACTCGAATGGAATGTACTCAAATGGATTAGAATAGAATGGAATGGAACTAAACGTAATGAACTCGAATGGAATGGACACAAATAGAATGGAAGAGAAGGGAATGGTATTGAATGGAATTTATTCGAAAAGAGTGGAATTCAATGGAATGCAGCAGTGTGGCATGGAATCAAATGGAATGGAATCGAATGGAATGGACCCGAGTGGAATGGACTCACATAGAACAGCCTCGAATGTAATGGATGACAATGTATTAGATTCGAAAGGACTGAAATCGAATGGAATGTAATCAAGTAGAACGGAATTGAATGCATGGAATGGCATAGAAAGTAACGCAATGGAATGGAATAGACTGGAATGGAATGGAATCGGATGGAATGTAATGAAATGTAATGGAAGGAATGCCATGGAATGGAATGGAATGGAATGCAATGGGACGGTGTATAATGGAGTGCAATGGATTTCAGTGGAATGTAGTCAAAAGGAAAGAAATAGAATGGAATTCAATATAATGGAATGGCATCCAATGGCAAGGAATGGAGCGGACTCCAATGGAAACGACATGAAAGGAATATAATAAAATGGAATGGCATTGAACGAAATGGAATGCAATGGAGTTAAAAGGTAAAATATCGAATGGAAAAGAATTGAATGGACTCGAAAGGAATATAATGGAATGGAATGGACTCGAATGGAATGTACTAGAGTTGAATGGAATCGAATGGAATGGAAAACAATGGAAAGGAAAGGAAGGGAATTGAAAGGAAAGGAATAGAATGGAATGGAATCGGATGGAACGGAATTGAATGGAATGGAAACTAAAGGAATAGAATAGAAAGGAATCGCATTGAATGGAATGGAATAGAATGGAATCAGATGGAACAGAAAGGAATGGAATAGAATCGAATGGAATGGCATCGAATGGATGGAATGGAATGTAATGGAATGGAATAGAAAGGAATGGAATGGACTCGAATGGAATGTACTCAAATGGAATAGAATAGAATGGAATGGAAGTAAATATAATGGACTCGAATGGAATGCATTGGAATAAATTGGAATTGAGTGTATTGGATTCGAATGGAAAGGAATGGAATGGAATGGAATGGAATGGAATGGAATGGAATGGATTCGAATGGAATGGAATCGAATGGAATGGAACGAATTGGAATGTAATTGAATGGAGTCAAAAACAGTAGAAAGAAATAAAGTTTCATCGAAAGATATCGAATGGAATTGAATGGAATGTACGCGAATGGAATGGACTGGAATGGAATGGAGTGACATGTAACGGAATCGAAAGGAATGGAATCCAATGAAATGGAATTGAATGGAATAGAAATGAATAGAATGGAATGGAGATTAACGGAAAGATATTAAAATAATGGAATGGAATTGAGTGGACACGAATGGAATGGACTGGAATGGAAAGGACTCAAATGAAAACGAGCGCAATAGAATGGACTCGAATGGAATGGATTGGAGTGGAATGGTCTCGAATGGATTGGAAAGGAATGGAATGGAAAGGAATAGAATGGAATGTAATCAAATGGAACGAAATGGAATGGAATGGATTCGACTGGAGCAGAATTGAATGGAGTGGATTTGAATGGAATGGAATGCAATCGAATGGAATGGACACGAATCGAATAGAATGAAATGTAATGGCATAGAATGGAATGGAATGGAATGGAATGGAATGGAATGGAATGGAACGGAATTGAATGTCATGGAATGGAATGGCATGGCATGGAATGGAATGGAATGGAATGGAATGAAATGGATTGGAATGGGATGGGCCCAAAAGTAATAGACTCAAATAAAAGGGACTCAAAGAGAATGAAGTGGAAAGAAACGGTCTCGAATGTAATTTATTCGAATAGAATGATATTGAATGGAATGCAATAGTATGGAATGGTATCGAATAGAATGGAATAGAATGGAATGGAATGGAACGGAATGGAGTGCAATTGAACGGACTCAAATGCAATAAATTGCGATATAATTGATTCAAATGGAATGGAATCGAATAGAATGTAAACAAATGGAATGGAAGGCAATGCAATGGAAAGGAATCGAATGAAATGGAATAAATGGAATGGAATGGAATGGAAAGGACGCGAATATATTGGACTGTTAAGGAAAGGTGTCAAATCGAATTTATTCCAATAGAATGGAATCGAATGGAATGCAATACTATTGAATCGAATCGAATGGAATGGAATTGAATGGAATGGACAGGAATGGAATGAACTGGAAGTGAATGGACAGGAACGTAATATATTGCAATGTAATTTATTCAAATGGAATGGAATGCAATCGAATGGAATGGACTCGATTGGAATGGACTGGAGTGGAATGGATTCAAATGGAATGGCAAGGAATGGAATGGAATGGAATGGAAAGCAAAGGAATCTACTGGAATAGAATCGAACGGAACAGAAAGGAATGGAATGGAATGGAGTGGAATGGACTCGAATGGAATGTATTCGAATGTAATGGACCTAAAAAGGAATGGAATCCAATGGAATGGAATTGAATGGAATCAAAAGGAATAGAAAGGCATCGAGTGTAATTGAATGATATCGAAAGGAAGGGAATGGAATGAACTCGAATGGAATGCACTGGAATGGAATGGACTCGATCAGAACGGACTGGAGAGGAATGTACACAAATGGAATGGAAACGAATGGAATGGAATGAAATGGAATGGAATGAAATGGAATTGAAAGGAAGGAAATCAAATGGAATGGAATGGAATGGATTGGAATAGAATGGATTCAAATAAAATAGAATCGATGGGAATGGTATTGAATGAAAGGGACTTGAATGGAATGGAAAGCAATGGAAGATATTGGAATCGAATGGCATCGAATGAAATGGAATGGAACGGAATGGAACGGAACCGAATGGAATGGAATGGACTCAAATGTAATGGACACCAATGGAATCGACTGAAATATAATAGTGTCGAAAGGAATGGCCTCGAGCGGAATTTATTTGAATAGAATGGAATCAAATGGAATACAATACCATTGAATGGAATCGAATGGAATGGAATCGAATGGAATGGAATCAAATGGAATGGAACGGAATTCAATATAATGGAGTAGAATGGAATGCATTGGAAAGGAGCAGAGTGGAATCAAGTGGAATGGAATCGAGTGGAATGGAATCGAGTGGAATGGAATCAATGGGAACAAAATCGAATTGAATGGACTTGAATGGAATTGACTCGAAAGGAATTGACTCGAAAGAAATGGACTGGAACAAAAAGGAATCAAATGGACAGGAATGGGATGGAATGGACACGAATGGAATGGAGTCAAATGCAAACGCATCGAATGGAATGGATTGAAATGGAATGCAATGGAATGGAACAGAAAGGAAGAGAATGGAATTGAGAGTAATGGAAAGATATCGATTGGAATGAAATGGAATGGAAATGAATTGAATGGAAAGGAATGGAGTGGAAAGAAATGGATTGGAATGGAATGGTCTCCAATGGAATGGACTGGAGTGGAATGGAATCGAATGGAATGAAAAGAATGGAACGGAATGGAATGGAAAGGAATAGAATGTTATGGAATCCGATTGGACAGAATGGAATGGAATGGAGTTTCATGAAATGGAGTCGAATAGAGTGTCATCAAAAGGAATGGAATGGAATGGAGTGGACTCAAAAGGAATGGACTCGAAAGGAATGGAGTCCAACCAAATTGAATCAAATGGATTGGAGTCGAACAGAATGGAATGGAATGAAATGTACTCGACTGGAGTAGAGAGGAATGTAAAGGAATAGAATGGAATGTAATCAAATGGATTGCAAGTGAATGGAATCAAAAATAATAGAAAGGAATGGAGTGTAAAGGGATGATATTGAATATAATGGAATGGAATGGAATTTAATGGAATGGAGACGAAGGAATGGACAGGAATGTAATGGACTCCAATGGAATGGAATGGATCAAAATGGATTTGAACAGATTGGAATCGAACGGAATGGAATGCAACGGCATGGAATGGACTCGAATGGAGAAGAGACAAATGGAATGGAAACGAATTCAATGGAATTGAAAAGAATAGGATGGAATGGCGTGTAATGGTAAGATACTAAATGGAATGGAATTGAATGGAATGGAATGGACCCAAATGTAATGCACTCGAAAGGAATATACTCAAATAGAACGGAATCGAAAGGAAAGGTCTCAAATGGAATTTATTCAATACAATGGAATCGAATGGAATGCAATAGAATGGAATGGAATCGAATGTAATGGAATCAAATAGAATGGACCAGTATGGAATGGACTGCCATAGAACGGACTGCAGTGTAATGGATTGAATTCTAATTCATTCAAATGGAATGGAATTGAATGGAATGGAATCCAATGGAATGGATAGGATTGTACTGGAATGGAATAGCATGGAATGCAACGGAGTGGAATGGAGTTGAATGAAGTGGAATGGAATCGATCGGAATGGAATCAAATGGAATGGACGGGAATGGAATGGACTGGAAGAGAACAGACTCGAATTTAATGGATTGCAATGTAATTGATTCAAAGGGAATGGAATCGAATGGAATGTAATAAAATTGAAGGGATTTGAGTTCAATGCAATGGAATAGAATGGAATGCAAAGGATAGGAAAGGTACGGAGTGAAATCGAGTGTAATGGAATCGAATGGAATGAAATGGAATGGAATGGACTCAAAAGAAATGGACGAGGGACAAAACGGAATCGAACTGATTGGAATCGAACGGAACGGAATGGAATGGAATGGTCTCCATTGGATCGGAGTAGAACGGACTGGAATGGAATGGAATGAAATGGAATGGAAAGGAATAGAATGGAATGGAATGGAATGGAATGGAATGGAAGGTAATGGAAAGATATCGAACGGATTGGAAAGGAATGGAATGGACCCTAATGGAATGGAATGGAATTCAACAGAAACGAATGGAATGGACTGGAGTGAAATGGAGTCGAATGTAATTGACTGGAGTGGAATGGACTCGAAAGGAATGGACTCGAATAGAATGGACTGGAATGGATTGTACTCAAATGGAGTGGAAAGGAATAAAATGGATTGCACCAGATTGGAATGGAACAGAATGTAATGGAATGGAATGGAATGCAATGGAATGGCTCCAATGGAATGGAGTCGAATGCAATGGAACAGAAAGGAAAGGAATTGAATGGAATTGAAAGTAATAGAACAAAATGGAGTGCAAAGGAAAGATATTGAATGGAATGAATCGAAAAGAAATCGAATGGAATGGACAAGAATGGAATGGAATAGAATGGAATAGACTGGCGTGCAATGAAAACGAATGGAACGGAAACGAATGGAATGCAATGGAAAGGAATGGAGTAGAATAAATACTATGGAATGGAATGGAGGCGAAAGGAAAAGAATGGATTGGAATGTCACCGAATGGAAAGATATGGAATGGAAAGGAATGGATACGAATGGAATGGAATAGAAAGGAACGGAAAGGTAAAGAATGGAATGGAATCGGATAGAATGGAATGCAATGTAATGGAGTCGAATGGAAAATAATCGTGTAGAATGATATCGAATGGAATGGAATGGAATGGAATGGACTCGAATGGAATGTACTCAAATGGATTAGAATAGAATGGAATGGAACTAAACGTAATGAACTCGAATGGAATGGACACAAATAGAATGGAAGAGAAGGGAATGGTATTGAATGGAATTTATTCGAAAAGAGTGGAATTCAATGGAATGCAGCAGTGTGGCATGGAATCAAATGGAATGGAATCGAATGGAATGGACCCGAGTGGAATGGACTCACATAGAACAGCCTCGAATGTAATGGATGACAATGTATTAGATTCGAAAGGACTGAAATCGAATGGAATGTAATCAAGTAGAACGGAATTGAATGCATGGAATGGCATAGAAAGTAACGCAATGGAATGGAATAGACTGGAATGGAATGGAATCGGATGGAATGTAATGAAATGTAATGGAAGGAATGCCATGGAATGGAATGGAATGGAAGGCAATGGGACGGTGTATAATGGAGTGCAATGGATTTCAGTGGAATGTAGTCAAAAGGAAAGAAATAGAATGGAATTCAATATAATGGAATGGCATCCAATGGCAAGGAATGGAGCGGACTCCAATGGAAACGACATGAAAGGAATATAATAAAATGGAATGGCATTGAACGAAATGGAATGCAATGGAGTTAAAAGGTAAAATATCGAATGGAAAAGAATTGAATGGACTCGAAAGGAATATAATGGAATGGAATGGACTCGAATGGAATGTACTAGAGTTGAATGGAATCGAATGGAATGGAAAACAATGGAAAGGAAAGGAAGGGAATTGAAAGGAAAGGAATAGAATGGAATGGAATCGGATGGAACGGAATTGAATGGAATGGAAACTAAAGGAATAGAATAGAAAGGAATCGCATTGAATGGAATGGAATAGAATGGAATCAGATGGAACAGAAAGGAATGGAATAGAATCGAATGGAATGGCATCGAATGGATGGAATGGAATGTAATGGAATGGAATAGAAAGGAATGGAATGGACTCGAATGGAATGTACTCAAATGGAATAGAATAGAATGGAATGGAAGTAAATATAATGGACTCGAATGGAATGCATTGGAATAAATTGGAATTGAGTGTATTGGATTCGAATGGAAAGGAATGGAATGGAATGGAATGGAATGGAATGGAATGGAATGGATTCGAATGGAATGGAATCGAATGGAATGGAACGAATTGGAATGTAATTGAATGGAGTCAAAAACAGTAGAAAGAAATAAAGTTTCATCGAAAGATATCGAATGGAATTGAATGGAATGTACGCGAATGGAATGGACTGGAATGGAATGGAGTGACATGTAACGGAATCGAAAGGAATGGAATCCAATGAAATGGAATTGAATGGAATAGAAATGAATAGAATGGAATGGAGATTAACGGAAAGATATTAAAATAATGGAATGGAATTGAGTGGACACGAATGGAATGGACTGGAATGGAAAGGACTCAAATGAAAACGAGCGCAATAGAATGGACTCGAATGGAATGGATTGGAGTGGAATGGTCTCGAATGGATTGGAAAGGAATGGAATGGAAAGGAATAGAATGGAATGTAATCAAATGGAACGAAATGGAATGGAATGGATTCGACTGGAGCAGAATTGAATGGAGTGGATTTGAATGGAATGGAATGCAATCGAATGGAATGGACACGAATCGAATAGAATGAAATGTAATGGCATAGAATGGAATGGAATGGAATGGAATGGAATGGAATGGAACGGAATTGAATGTCATGGAATGGAATGGCATGGCATGGAATGGAATGGAATGGAATGGAATGAAATGGATTGGAATGGGATGGGCCCAAAAGTAATAGACTCAAATAAAAGGGACTCAAAGAGAATGAAGTGGAAAGAAACGGTCTCGAATGTAATTTATTCGAATAGAATGATATTGAATGGAATGCAATAGTATGGAATGGTATCGAATAGAATGGAATAGAATGGAATGGAATGGAACGGAATGGAGTGCAATTGAACGGACTCAAATGAAATAAATTGCAATATAATTGATTCAAATGGAATGGAATCGAATAGAATGTAAAGAAATGGAATGGAAGGCAATGCAATGGAAAGGAATCGAATGCAATGGAATAAATGGAATGGAATGGAATGGAAAGGACGCGAATATATTGGACTGTTAAGGAAAGGTGTCAAATCGAATTTATTCCAATAGAATGGAATCGAATGGAATGCAATACTATTGAATCGAATCGAATGGAATGGAATTGAATGGAATGGACAGGAATGGAATGAACTGGAAGTGAATGGACAGGAACGTAATATATTGCAATGTAATTTATTCAAATGGAATGGAATGCAATCGAATGGAATGGACTCGATTGGAATGGACTGGAGTGGAATGGATTCAAATGGAATGGCAAGGAATGGAATGGAATGGAATGGAAAGCAAAGGAATCTACTGGAATAGAATCGAACGGAACAGAAAGGAATGGAATGGAATGGAGTGGAATGGACTCGAATGGAATGTATTCGAATGTAATGGACCTAAAAAGGAATGGAATCCAATGGAATGGAATTGAATGGAATCAAAAGGAATAGAAAGGCATCGAGTGTAATTGAATGATATCGAAAGGAAGGGAATGGAATGAACTCGAATGGAATGCACTGGAATGGAATGGACTCGATCAGAACGGACTGGAGAGGAATGTACACAAATGGAATGGAAACGAATGGAATGGAATGAAATGGAATGGAATGAAATGGAATTGAAAGGAAGGGAATCAAATGGAATGGAATGGAATGGATTGGAATAGAATGGATTCAAATAAAATAGAATCGATGGGAATGGTATTGAATGAAAGGGACTTGAATGGAATGGAAAGCAATGGAAGATATTGGAATCGAATGGCATCGAATGAAATGGAATGGAACGGAATGGAACGGAACCGAATGGAATGGAATGGACTCAAATGTAATGGACACCAATGGAATCGACTGAAATATAATAGTGTCGAAAGGAATGGCCTCGAGCGGAATTTATTTGAATAGAATGGAATCAAATGGAATACAATACCATTGAATGGAATCGAATGGAATGGAATCGAATGGAATGGAATCAAATGGAATGGAACGGAATTCAATATAATGGAGTAGAATGGAATGCATTGGAAAGGAGCAGAGTGGAATCAAGTGGAATGGAATCGAGTGGAATGGAATCGAGTGGAATGGAATCAATGGGAACAAAATCGAATTGAATGGACTTGAATGGAATTGACTCGAAAGGAATTGACTCGAAAGAAATGGACTGGAACAAAAAGGAATCAAATGGACAGGAATGGGATGGAATGGACACGAATGGAATGGAGTCAAATGCAAACGCATCGAATGGAATGGATTGAAATGGAATGCAATGGAATGGAACAGAAAGGAAGAGAATGGAATTGAGAGTAATGGAAAGATATCGATTGGAATGAAATGGAATGGAAATGAATTGAATGGAAAGGAATGGAGTGGAAAGAAATGGATTGGAATGGAATGGTCTCCAATGGAATGGACTGGAGTGGAATGGAATCGAATGGAATGAAAAGAATGGAACGGAATGGAATGGAAAGGAATAGAATGTTATGGAATCCGATTGGACAGAATGGAATGGAATGGAGTTTCATGAAATGGAGTCGAATAGAGTGTCATCAAAAGGAATGGAATGGAATGGAGTGGACTCAAAAGGAATGGACTCGAAAGGAATGGAGTCCAACCAAATTGAATCAAATGGATTGGAGTCGAACAGAATGGAATGGAATGAAATGTACTCGACTGGAGTAGAGAGGAATGTAAAGGAATAGAATGGAATGTAATCAAATGGATTGCAAGTGAATGGAATCAAAAATAATAGAAAGGAATGGAGTGTAAAGGGATGATATTGAATATAATGGAATGGAATGGAATTTAATGGAATGGAGACGAAGGAATGGACAGGAATGTAATGGACTCCAATGGAATGGAATGGATCAAAATGGATTTGAACAGATTGGAATCGAACGGAATGGAATGCAACGGCATGGAATGGACTCGAATGGAGAAGAGACAAATGGAATGGAAACGAATTCAATGGAATTGAAAAGAATAGGATGGAATGGCGTGTAATGGTAAGATACTAAATGGAATGGAATTGAATGGAATGGAATGGACCCAAATGTAATGCACTCGAAAGGAATATACTCAAATAGAACGGAATCGAAAGGAAAGGTCTCAAATGGAATTTATTCAATACAATGGAATCGAATGGAATGCAACAGAATGGAATGGAATCGAATGTAATGGAATCAAATAGAATGGACCAGTATGGAATGGACTGCCATAGAACGGACTGCAGTGTAATGGATTGAATTCTAATTCATTCAAATGGAATGGAATTGAATGGAATGGAATCCAATGGAATGGATAGGATTGTACTGGAATGGAATAGCATGGAATGCAACGGAGTGGAATGGAGTTGAATGAAGTGGAATGGAATCGATTGGAATGGAATCAAATGGAATGGACGGGAATGGAATGGACTGGAAGAGAACAGACTCGAATTTAATGGATTGCAATGTAATTGATTCAAAGGGAATGGAATCGAATGGAATGTAATAAAATTGAAGGGATTTGAGTTCAATGCAATGGAATAGAATGGAATGCAAAGGAAAGGAAAGGTACGGAGTGAAATCGAGTGTAATGGAATCGAATGGAATGAAATGGAATGGAATGGACTCAAAAGAAATGGACGAGGGACAAAACGGAATCGAACTGATTGGAATCGAACGGAACGGAATGGAATGGAATGGTCTCCATTGGATCGGAGTAGAACGGACTGGAATGGAATGGAATGAAATGGAATGGAAAGGAATAGAATGGAATGGAATGGAATGGAATGGAATGGAAGGTAATGGAAAGATATCGAACGGATTGGAAAGGAATGGAATGGACCCTAATGGAATGGAATGGAATTC